>NC_000009.12:103220552-103372067 GCF_000001405.40 Homo sapiens | reverse complement strand
TAAGTAATGCAGACTGTGCTCAAACTCAATTCTGCTGTTTAGCATCTGTATAAATGTCAGTTACTTCAGTTCCCTAGGCCTGAATTTCCCATATGGTAAAATAGGGTGAAAAGGGATCTCCAGCTTTAGAGATTTTGTGAGGATTAAAATATATAATGCATGCAGAGGATGTGGCAAAGTGTTGAGAAAGTGCCCAATAAACAATTATTTTGTTATTATTCATATTATTATTTATTCAGCTACCTATTATTCACCTTTTATTCTTATGTCTATAGAAGATATTCTATTTTCAAGAACCAGATAAGACACAGATAAACAAGTAAACGCAATGTTACAATGATTTTATTTCCTTCAATTTAAGGATATTCAAAATTTTAAATAAAGTTTTTTTAATCTCTCTATAAATTAATATTTCTAATTTCAGGAAAAGCCATCAGAAATCAATTATTTAGCTGAGCATTCATGTCTTTCCTGATCTCTTCACTCTCTGAACTTGAGTACAGCAAAACTTCCTTTTTTTTTCATTCCCAAGCATTAAAAGCTAAATCTCTGAATGAAAGGAAATAGAACTAAATGAAAAGCCAAACTAATTTTACTTAAGCAGCCACAGCTTTCCCAGTGAATGATTTGGAGCTCTTCAGTGTTACTTAGTGAATGTAATCACACATATTTGTCTTGTAGAGAATTATATTGTGACATATGCACAGTAAGCGGGACTGCTATTATATAAATTACCGAAGATTTGCTGCTTGAAGTTGCAGCATACAAAAGAAAGCACGCATATATTTTTTGTCACAAAAATATTGCCATTATTTAAAGAAACCTCATCTACGTATGTTATTTACTAATAAGACCGGTCATAGTCTCACTAATATTTATACACAATTTGTGTTCAGTAACAAAAATGCCCAAACATTAGGCAGAACAAGTCAAAATTCTCAGACAAATAAAATATTATATTTTTTAAGTTTAGATTGAAAGGTTTTTCAAAATGCTACATTCTGCAATTTTATTTCTTTAATCTCTTCTTTCCTTCCTACTTTCAATATATATGTGTGCATATGTGTGTTCTGTACGTAAATATAAGGAGGGCTGTTGTAGTCTGGATGCATTACATAAATCTTACTCAAGAATGTGTCTGAACTGAGATTTCAAAGATAACCAGATCTTGTCTGGGTGAATGAGTCAGTAGAAGATATTCAGGGTACAAGAATACCTTATTGGAAGTTCAGATGTGAGAATGAGCATGACACTTTGGAAGATCTGGAAGACCAGTGTGGCCAGAGAACAGAGGTGAAGGGTGAGTGAGATGTGATAAATACTTATAAAATCTTCAAGATATTTTACATTAAAATTACCTAAAGCACTGTAAGCCATACATATATATATGTATAAATTATCGCTCTAAGTATATATAATTAAAATGTTCACCAATATATAAAATAACATTTCTTCTCAGAATGAAAGGCTGTTTCTTTTTCTTTTTTTTTTTTTTTTTTTTTTTTTTTTTTTTTTTTTTGAGACGGAGTCTCGCTCTGTCGCCCAGGCTGGAGTGCAGTGGCGGGATCTCGGCTCACTGCAAGCTCCGCCTCCCGGGTTCACGCCATTCTCCTGCCTCAGCCTCCCAAGTAGCTGGGACTACAGGCGCCCGCCACTACGCCCGGCTAATTTTTTTGTATTTTTAGTAGAGACGGGGTTTCACCGTTTTAGCCGGGATGGTCTCGATCTCCTGACCTCGTGATCCGCCCGCCTCGGCCTCCCAAAGTGCTGGGATTACAGGCGTGAGCCACCGCGCCCGGCCTCTTTTTCTTATTTCTAAGTAATTAACTTACATCATGAAGAATTTAGACTACACAGAAAAATCCATGGAAGAGAGAAATAAGACTCAAATCCTAAGGTCATATATACCCTAAAAATATATGTCTTATAATAGAGTTCAATATCAAGTCAAATGATTAGATTATTACAATCATATGCTACGATTAATCATGTAATAGGCTGTACCGAGGTCAAACAGAAAACACGTCTTTATGCTTTATGATAACAAGCATGCTCTTTCCTTTGTGCTCACAGATACAAAAGTCACCTATGGTTTGCCTGACCCAGGCAGAGAAACATTTTCAGACTCCCTGTGACCTTGGCTTAGCTCCAGCTATAGTTTGGGTTCAGGAATACTTGACATGCCCCCACATTCTCTTTGGCCAAGCAGCAACCCGGACAAGTTCTCCTCATGGTACAAGTCAGAAGCCCAAGTGTAACATCTGATACCTCTCTAGGCCTTGATCTGGAACTGGCACACTTTCACCCACCTAGGCTCCACTGGCAAAAAGCAAGTTGAGTGGCCAAGTCCAAATTCAACATGGGTGAAGAACTATCATTCTCTCTCTGTAGGAGGAAGACATTAGGGAAAGGATGTAGATGAATAACATTAACAAAGAAAAGGTGTGAAGAATTTTTGGATTCAATTCACCCCAGAGGTGGAACTAGAACAGCAGAAGCCCCAACATCTGGAGCTGCTAAAATCTCAAATTAAGTAGCCAACAGTGCCAGTGACCATTGCCATTCTCTCCTTACAAGTTGTGAATCATGGAGGAAAGCCAAGGAGACTATGTTGCTTAAAGTCAATGTCATCATTTTACCTTTGTAGTTCTCTCTCTACATATATATGTATATGTGTGTATATATATATATATATATATATATGCACACATAGATCAATTATATCACAGCCTTAGCTATCAATCATCCTAAATCATGATGGAACCATCAAGAAGTCCTTAGAGGAGCCACACGAAGAGCAGAAGAAATATTTTGATGAAACATCTTGTTTGCTTAAAGTTCACTTATGCCAAAACCTAGTAATCTATGATTAACTTTTCCCATAGTTCACCTATGTTTTCCAGCGTGCACTCTTTTATTTTCTCTTGGATTTTCTTCTTTTTGGCTTTTTCTTATTAGAATTACTCTTTTTTTCCAGGTGATGCACCAGCATTATTTTTCATTCATTTTTTTTTTAATGGCAACTTTGAATGCAAGCAAAGTCAGTGGAATTTCATGGGGTATTGGTGGGTAGAGTAACATGCTTTTGATTACATCAGATACATAAAGGAAAAAAGACTGCTTGGTTTCTTGTTTGGTAGAATCCCTAGGGCATCTAAGTCAGGCAAAAGGCAGTGAATAAGGGAGGTAAATGGAAAGAAAGTGTTAATATATTTTCTTGCTTTCTTTAAGGTTTTTCACTTATTTTTCTTCTAGTGGTTAAATACATGTCATTACTATTCATCATTTGTAATTCCCAGTTTAGCACAGCTGGTTTTCTAATTACTTGAAAAAAAAATCCAGGGTTTGGGTAAGCAGTGACCAGTTTTTGATTTTTTAAAAATAATATTTATATGAGCTTAAAAAATCATTTTCTGTTTTGTTTTACTCACAATAAATTAGAGTAATTGGCAGGCAATAAGAATTTAATGAATAATAAGATATCATGTTGTGGAGCATACATCAATTTTAGCTAGTAAATAGTTGCATTTATTGGTCCCATAAAAGCTCAGTTAATAGTTTACCTCCATATTTTAATAAGTGGGTAGATTTAGGATACCCATAGTTTAGGTAAGAAAGAGTCTCATTCTCAATATTACCTTAGCCTGGAAATTTTATTTAACTATGCACAAGGGGGGTTGTTAATTTCTGGAAAATATTTTCAAATAGAGTCAATTTTTTTTCACAGTTGAAGATTTAAATACTGCTTTAGAATTTTGCTTGTCATTTTTGTTAATAAAGCTACTATATCATAGTTTAAGAATTTAATTTTTAAAAATATATTGTCTCTTTCAGACCCATGAGAAACCTATGAACAATATTATTTTCACATAAGTAAAGTATAACTTAGTAGTCCCCTACTATCTACGTAGATCTACATAGAAACAAAATGATGGTGGGCTGTGAATAAAATTTGCCTTGTGTTATAAAATAATACCCATTCCTTTTCTAATAAAACTGCTTTTGTTTGTTACTAGGAAGAAGTTTATTTTAGAAGACAAATTTTTCAGCACTGTGCTCAAGAAATATATCTATGGTTGAATTTGTGAATGTTCTGAAATCACCTGGAATTATATCAAATGCTTACTTCTAAATGTGAAATTATTTATACAAATTATGCTGCTTCTAGTTTGTCACTTACTAGTTATGTGACCTTGAACATGTTACTTAACAGCTCCGTGTCTTCTTTTCCCTATCCATTAAATTGACCTAATAATTGTATCAATTTCAGATATTTGCTATACAGGTTCTATAAGTCAATATGTAAAAAACACTTCACACCAGGTCTGACACATAGTAAGTTCCACATAGAAGTTAGAGGTTATTATCCATTTTAATACATTTTTAAAGCATGGAGTCAGTACTTGGATCAGGAATAAAGGTTGACATTATGTTTATGTGGTCCTTGAAGACAAGAATAAACGATGAAGTCTTAAAGGAAGTAAACCAAAATTGGTTCCAGAAAAAAATAGGGGAAAGAAAAAGATTATAAGGAAGGATTTAATCTAGGCTTCCTCTTTGTGTCATAAAATCAAAATGAGAAAATATAGATTGCATGTTTATAGATGTCTGAAAAATGGAACAAAGTCTAGATTTAGAATTTATATAATAGTGACTTCCTATTAAATACTAAAGATTTTCCTATGTATATTCAATTTTTGTTTTCTAAAAATTGCATTCAACAAGCAAATATTGATAGGAAAATGGTAACTGGTCCTTAAACACTGGTCCACATTCTCATTATGATGTACATACAAAACAACAACTCATATAAATGTCTCTCAAGTCCATAAAATAGTTAAAAGATCAGCACAGGTAGTTGAGCTTGAAAATGCATAAGGGGGATTATAGACTGCATTGCTCACAGTTAGAACACAGCCATAATTACAGCTGTAGCTCTTTTTTTTTTTTTTTCAGCCGTAGCTACAAACTGGCCTCAATGGTTTTTCTTATTGAGTACACCGAGCAATGACGTAAATTTCCAATTTATTTAATTCTGTGGCAATGTTTGGATTAGTAATAAACCTTTGCAACTTTGTTAGATTTGGAAAAGTATTTTAGAGAAACTATGTGCAACTACTTAAGAAAAAAATAAAACTCCACCTTAAGAAGCAGTATAGGAGTACCAAAGGCAATGAAATAGTCAAAATTGTTTTTTAAAAAATGGAGTTGAGCAAAACTATATGAATTTTTTAAAAATGTCCAGAAAAATATTTTGGTTCCAGATAAGGGTTAAGAGTTAATTGGTTTTTCAGATGTTTTTTTCCCCTAAATGTTTCAGAGAGATCTGCAGGGACATAGGTATAATAATTTTCTCAAAGAGCTACACATGTGCCACCTCTTGAATCCAAGAAATTATCCCGTCCCTCTAGATTTTAATAATTGCCTTTCAATTTTGAATACTTCTGTAGCGAGCATATCAACTGTTTTAGTGATATTGTCCAGGGTTTTGGTAAATAATGTAATTACAGCATAGAAAACTTTATGTACTTTTTGTGTTCCCCTTATTGCTAAAAGAAAGAAGGTAGTAGAGCAGAAAACAGTACCACAGTATTCTCTTGGGATGATCAGATTGTCTAGGTTTATATCTAGTGCTTAATCTTTCCCTTCCAGAGTTTGATCATTTTTATTAAAGAGAAATTTGTCTACCTTGCCATAATCTGAACTCTGATGTTGATTGACATTGTAGCCCAGAGGACTGTAAATCTTTAAGAAAACTTTGAGAGATATCAAGAACATAATATTAGTTGGAATGAACAAGAAAAAAAATAAAACATTCCTGCAGTTTCCCTTGAGAGAGTTCTGCATGGCTGTTTCTTTAACTCATGGCAAAGCAGAAATTTCCAGCTGAGGTATATGTGGCCTGAAAAATACATATTGTAAAAAAAGGATTTAAGATAGTTCGAGGAAACACAGCTTTTCTTATTCAAGAATTCCATTAATATTTTCAAAAGTATTTTTCTCCACTATGCATTATCTTTTGGTATATTCCCAAAGGGAAATACTTTTTTTTGGTTCTTCTTCATTAACAAATGACTATGCAAACATTTAGCAACTCACAATTTCCTTAGCAATGAGTAATACTGAATATTGTCCTGTGATATCTCTACTGTTTTAGTGTCAGTTTTCAATATTTTTCTAATTGATTAATTTATTATTTAAGGAGTGCACTACATTTTCAAACAGATGGATTTTTACAGATATTAATGTGTCTTGCATCCATTTCACAGCCAATTTCAGCCATAGAAAATACACAAAGCATCATTAAAAAGCAATCAGTGGAAATACACACACACAATTATATATTTATATAAACGACATGTAAATATATATTACACATAAATATATAATATGCAATTCAACAGGGTAAATACCATGTTTATTTACTGAATTGGTATTTTCCTTATAAATGTTGACTAAACGCTCATACTTTGCTGCATTTAAAGCCAGTTCTAGTTATTTCTTCACACTGATTGCTGGAAAATTATGTTAGGCATTATGAGGGCATGTGTATTTTATGTGTATGGTACTAGGCATGATGTCAAATTTGTAAGTAAGATTTGACCATCAGACTCTGCGTTATTTCAAATTAGAGTTGTTAATGGGATTGTCTTTCAGACTCACAAATCATAATGATAAAGACATTTTGAGAAGAAAGAAAAGGAGGCAAAAGACAAATATGATAAAAATAAAATGTTAAGGTGGCTGCACCCCATCCTTGTTATTGAATGACAAACACCTTTAGGAATATTACAGAAAAATATTTTTATCAATAGAATCTGGAGGAATTAGACCAAAGGGAACTAAATGGATTATCAGGAATCAGAAGATAAAATAAACATTTGCATAACATTCTGTATTCTATCTATTGTTTTGGCCCTAATAAAGGCTGAATTTAAAAACAACAGGTTGGCATGTAAGGATTGATTTTTTTAAGTATGTGTATGTTTCTTTCTCTCGCCACAGGAATGCCTTCTTTTGCTTCTTTAGCTGCCTTGACCAATGTAGTGATGCTGACAGAGGCTATAAAAAATGTGGCTCTCCAATCTTGGGCACTTTATGTAACCTTGCTCCTGGGAGGCCGAGCACATATTCAGCAGGAAGGAACTTGCTGGCTCAGTTACCATGATTCATGCCAACAAATCAAAGGTATGTATCAGAGAAGGAAATGAAAGATGGTGAGGGAGAAGGAATAGATAACAGCTCAATTGGGTAATGTTGTTCAAAAGGCCTTTGATCAAGTGTCTTGTTTTGGTGAAGAAAAAATAAATAAATAAATAAATAAATAAATAAATAAATAAAATGTTTTAAAAGGCCTTTGAAGGATTGAATAAAAAAGAAGAAAACTAACACATTTTTATGGAGTTGGCAGCTCATTACCAATATTCAGGGGGTGAGGATACTCTCTGGCTTCATCCCCTCTCTTAAAACCCTACTTTCTATATAAACTAGGCCTGGAGAAATTAAAATCCAACATTCAGGATCATGTTCTAGAATGTAAACTATTTTAGAAGGGGACTGAATTTATCTCTTCACTTGAAGCCATAGAATTCTGAAAAAGCTTGACTGAGAGGTCAATATTTGCTGACCTAACCCCTAGTAAAGAATTTTAGATCATGTTATGGAATGAATGTGTGTGTTCCTCTCCTATTCATGTACTGAATCCCTAACTGCCAGTGTGATGTTATTTGGAGATGTGGTCTTTGGGACGTCATTAGCATTAGGTGAGGTCATGACAGTGAGATCCTCAAAGTAAGATTGGTGGCCTTTTAAGAGGAGGAATCTCTCTCTCTTTCTCTGTCATGAGAACACATTGAGAAGGTAGCTGTCTGCACGCCAGGAAAAGTATCCTTTCCAGAACCTGACCATTCTTGCTGTCACTCTCATCTTGGACTTCCGGCCTCCAGAACTATAAGAGAATAAATTTCTGTTTCTTTAAGCACCCAGTCTATGGTATTTTGTTATAGTAGAGCTAAGACAGGACATAAGCAACAATTTGATTAAAGGGCCAGAAGTGGTATACATTATTATTATTATTATTAGATCCTAGCACTTAATTATCAGTGATCTGTAAAGAGAATAGAGATGCTGATATGAAAGAGCAGAAGGTAAATCTGGGAGGGTTTAGAGGCATCCATTGCCAGGGACAAGCTGAAGGTTAAATTATGAATTGCAAGGTATGATTGGACAAATTATTCTGTGGTTACATCACTGAATTCATGATTGGGGATATTCTGGGTAATATATTCAACCAATTCTAGATTTTAAGAGTAGCATCCCTATACATTTAAAGTTAATAGAAATGTTGTATATTGATATAATATTATGTTTCTTTTTCCTAATTTTTATGTGGTCAGTAGTATAGTGTTAATCAAAATGAATGTCACGGTGGGCCAAATGAGTAAAAATGTACTTCTCAAAGATGCCCACACCTTTATTCCTGGAATCTGTGTATATGCTGTATTACATAGCAAAAGAGACTTTGTGATGTGATTTCAAGTTCCATACCTTATATGAGAGATATTATCCTGCATCATCTCAGTGGGAAAGAGTAGAAGATAAAAAGAGTGTCAATTATTGTAGAGTCAGTGTCTATTTTCATTTTCTATTGCTGCCAAAGAAAATTACCACAAACTTTGAGGCATACAACAACACTCATTTTTAAACATCTGTTTTATGGATTTAAAAAATCCCAGTAAGGCATAGCTTACTGGGATCCTCTGATTAGAGTCTTACAAAGTCAGAATCAAAGTGTTGCTGGGCTGTGTTTCTTTGTGAAAGCACTGGGGATCTGCACTTCTAAACTCATTCAGTTTCTTGGCAGAATTCAGCACTATTTGGATACAAGACTAAAATCCTCATTTCCTTACTGGTTGTCAGCCAAGGGTCATTTTTTTTTTTTATTTTTAGAGACCTCCCACACTCCTTACCTCATGCTCCACTTCTTCCATCTTCAAAGCCAACAACAGAGGGACAGTGCTCCTCACATTTTGAATATACCTGACTTCCCCTTCTGCCCCATCTCTCCTATTTCCAGCCAAAGTAAATTCTCTGCATTTATAGGCTCATGTGACTATATTTAGCTCACCTGGATAATCCAGGAAAAATCTCCCCATTTTAAAGTCCATGACCTTAATCACATCTGCAAAGTCTCTTTTGCCATGTAATTTAATGTATTCACAGGTCTGAGGGTTGAGATGTAGATATCTCAGTGGGTGGAGGGTGATCCTGCCCACATCAGCATCAATTCCAGTTATACTCATTTTTAGACTTCTGATGCTGATCATCCTCAGAGCAAGTGGAAGAAATAGACATTTTATCTGTTACCTGGCAAAACTTTGGAATCTTTCTAGGCTAGTGAAAAGTAGAAGAATGAGCAAATATGCTGTTATCGCTCACCCTATAGGAGACCCATACATCTGAGCCCCCTAAACCCAAAAATGTGTGGGTCAAAAGAAGCAATAAATGTAAATGGGGTAAATTATGGGAAACAAATGGATGCTCATAAGTGAGTTTCGATCTCAGTAAAGAATGCCACCTACACTATTTATGCAAAAGTGCCTCAGAGCAAGAGAATAAGAGTGTTAGCCATCTCTCCCAAATCTGGCATTCACTAGTGACAGATGCTAGGAGAAACCTCTGGATCTCTTCCCTTTAGAAAAGAGAAATTGGACTCTTGCTAATTTATGAGCTCTGCCCTGAAACTCCACCTGGATAATTTGGCAAAAAGAAGTGATGCATTACCCCTGATAACTCAACTTATCAATAACCAGCTAGTACTATTTGCTTCACAGTTTATAGTCTATATGTACCTTTCTGGTTATTTTTTCCATGACCTGAGAAGAATGCTGCTAATGAATCACAAAAGGTGGAGAATGCTAAACAGCAATGCTTCTGTCACTCTGTTGTGGCTATTAATCAAGATGATGCATTGCTAAGACAGCTGCCTGGGTATGACAGGAAGCAAATTGCTGTGTCTGCCTGTCAGAAGTTTATTTGCTACTTTGAGTATATGGAACATGAATGTCAACTGAATGTATTTAAAGAAAGTGCAAATTAAACATGAAGATCTTCAAAGGGGTCAGTTTGGATTTTATTTGGTGTCCTGATATTACCAATAATATTTCTCTGGAGACACGCAAGGGAAAATTATGTGATGCCTGCTATCATAGCCAGATGAGGATGTACTGAAGGATCAAATACACCTAAATGACAGTCTCATGGGGTACATAATACTTTTAGGTGCGTACAGTTTCCAAAGTTGTATAAAAACAATAAATATTCAATGGTATTAATATATTCAGTGACTTGATCAGAACTGGCCATGCAGCACAAGATATTCTGTGACAGTTTAAGTAGTTGGTCTTGGAATACTTACCAAGAGCCTTTAACTTACTAACCTAGTAGGAACACTAGATGGACTTCCTATTTCAGGAGAATGACCATGGCTGGAATCAGCCTGGAAGGTTTAACAAAGATATAAGCAAATGAACTAGCTGAATAATAATTCTCAAATAAAAACATACATTACCATTAACCATACTGGGAAAAACATTATACTCTCATATAGAGACAACTAGTGAGTATTCTATCATTTGTGGAATCTCACATAAAGGTCAGTGATTATTAGACCTAGAAAACCAGGACAGGAAGTTGGGATTTGTTCTACAGATAAATTAATGCAGATTGTAATCGGATATTGGGGCTGTTATAGTCGTTCTCCAGTAGCTTTTGTACACAAGATAAAATGGAACCTTTCTTCTCTATGATGCAGCTGGCTGGGATTGGATAGATCATATAAAACTGTTTTCACTATTGCAGTATTACATAATGGCACCTGGAAGCCAGGACCTGTAAAACCTGTATTAGGATATCTAAAACATGATTATGATCATGAAGAATATGGAGTCCAGAACTGACTGAAATAGGGCCTCTTGTCAACACTCCAATCAATGAGAACTTGTAGTACATATAAGAAGGTAACTTCTGCTGGAAAGGAAGTACCATGCTCTTTTTTCTGTTGCATGGTATGTTAAATGCTACTTTTATCTCCCCACCATAGATATATGGTATAACAAAAGGGTTGGTAAATTCATTGACAGAACAAAATGAAAACCAAATTTATGCAGATAATGGCTTAAGAGTAATAACATATTTCAGGAGATAGATTTGAATCACAATATTGATGAAATAGCTATCCATTGGACAGAAAAAAAGGTGACTTCAGTCTTTAGAAAATCAAAAAAGATACCCAAGTAAATGTTTCCTTCAAAATATCTTAAAAAGTTGATCTCATAGAATTAAAGAGTAGAATGGTGGTTACCAGAGGCTGAGGTTATTAGGGGAGAGGAAGAGATGGGAGAATATTGGCCAAAGGATATATAGTTACAGTCAGATAGAAGGAATAAGTTCAAGAAATCTATGTTAAAGCATGGTGACTGCAGTTAATGATAATCTATCGTAGTCTTGAAGAGTGCAAAAAGGGCAGATGAGGTGTTTTACCACAAAAATGATAACACAAAAATACCATGTGAGATAATGTATTTGTTAATTAGCTAGATTTAACCATTTTACAATGCATATACACTTCAATACATCATGTTATAGTTATCAATATCTGTCAGTTAATAAGTAAACATAAGTAAACAAATAAAAATGATATAAGAGGTCCTGTTTCTGCCTAGGATGTAGAAACCTGTGAAAAAACCTTACCTCCCAAAATAATAGCATGGAAGCGATAGATGACATATAAAATGATAACCTATCTTAAACCCACTAGTTAGCTGAAGTAACAAGGAAAACAATTACATAGTTGAGATCCATGAAGAAACAAGATCAAAATACTGACTCATCTCTTGATAAGTTTGGGAAGAGGTGCTGGGGATGATACAACTGGGAAAGAAAAATATGGGAAAGTTTTAATGAGTTACTGAAAGTTTAGTCTGGTCTAGTGTACAGACTTAGAACCCATGAGCGTCAAGGAAACACACGTAGTTTGGACCCACAGGCAGGCCTCATACAGAGGCCTCATACATAGACCTCAACAGATCATGCAGGATAATGATTGGGAGACATGAAGGAGGAGTAGATAAATCATCTGTCAATCATGCATGCCTGAACGAAGGAAACATGGCTGTTAAAGAAAGATACACTTTGGGAGGCTGAGGTGGGCAGATCATGAGGTCAGGAGATCGAGACCATCCTGGCTAGCATGGTGAAACCCCATCTCTACTAAAAATACAAAAAATTAGTCGGGCGTGGTGGCGGGTGCCTGTAGTCCCAGCTACTCAGGAGGCCGAGGCAGGAGAATCACTTGAACCCGGGAGATGGAGGTTGCAGTGAGCCGAGATTGTGCCACTGTACTCCAGCCTGGGCAACAGAGCAAGACTCTTCTCAAAACAGATAAATAAAATTAAATTAAATAAAAATAAAAGAAAGATACAAAGCCCCACCATGACTCTGCTATAAAACAAAAGCCTTAAGCCACTGGGAGAAGAGCAGCAAGACTGTAAACCTAAGCACACAGGTGAAGACACACTGCCCCTGAAGGAAGAATTTTTAAAAATCTCTCTAACTGTTGGAGTGAGAAAGAAAACCATGCTGTGTTTGATTCATTGGACATTTCCTACTACCAGAGAAACATTAGGATCTTTGAGAAAGCCCAATTTTTGGGACCTAGAAAGATAAACATTTTTAAACCATGTTTCCTACCACCAGCTTAGGAAATGTGAAACAAATACCAAGAGCTCAGCTGAGCCTGGGGAGCTGACTCCTCAGGTGTCAGAATAGCCAATTGAGTCAGCAAAGCAGAATGAAGTAGCAGTAAAGCCTTTAATTACTTACGGCAATAGTATTGGCAAGAGGCTAAACTGGAGAAAGCAGCAAATCCTCCCTCTTCCATTTTTCCCCCATGGAATGGCCTGCCAATTGATCAGGCAAATCAGCACAGACACAGGATCCTCTCACTGTGGAGAGAACCCCAAATAAAACGCTGCGACAGCTATATGGACCCAGAAGTGGGGAGGAGCACGGGGAAAAGGCCTAGGAGTAAAAAAGTACTGAGTCCCAAGTCAGAGTGGAGAGAAGGGTATTCTAAGTTCTGCCTCGTCCTCCATGATATGGTTTGGATTTGCATCCCCGCCCAATCTCATGTTAAATTGGAGGAGGGACATAGTAGGAGGTGATTGGATCATAGGGGAGAATTTCCCCCTAGCTGTTCTCTTGATAGTGAGTGAGTTCTCACGAGATCTGGTGGTTTAAAAGTGTGTGGCACTTCCCCCTTCTCTCTTTCTCTCCTGCTCTGCCATGGTAAGACGTGGTTGCTTCCTGTTCTGCCATGACTGTTAAGTTTCCTGAGGCCTCCCAGACATGCTTCCTGTACAGTCTGTGGAACTGTGAGTCAATTAAACCTCTTTTCTTCATAAATTACCTAGTCTCAGGTAGTTCTTTATATCACTGTGAGAACAGACTGATACACTCCATCTCTCTAATAACAAGTTCTTGGTAGAGGCACCTGAGGAAGGCCTTTGTTGAAGGCCCCAGATAAAAAGACCTCTAATGGTAGGCATCTGGATTAGGAATGAAGATTTGTGTAAGACCCTAGTTGGCCACAGTGGGGCTGAATCCTTAACTGAAACTCCCTTTAGAAATGGCAATAAAAGTGACCACAACAAAAAAAAAATCTGAGCGCAGCTCAACTCTAATTAGTTTGGCTCAGCCCACAAACCAATAGCCTAGCACAAGAAAAGAAATGCCCATTTTCAGCAGTAATTATTATTTACAACTTTTTTTTTCTGTACTAATCATGACGTCTACTCTCTTATTTTATTTTATTTTATTTTATTTTATTTTATTTTATTTTTTTGTTTCATTGACCAGACTCTTAGTTTTATTTTATTTTATTTTATTTTTTTAATTCATTATTATTATACTTTAAGTTTTAGGGTACATGTGCACAATGTGCAGGTTGGTTACATATGTATACATGTGCCATGCTGGTGCACTGCACCCACTAACTCGTCATCTAGCATTAGGTATATCTCCTAATGCTATCCCTCCCCCCTCCCCCCACCCCACAACAGTCCCCAGAGTATGATGTTCCCCTTCCTGTGTCCATGTGTTCTCATTGTTCAGTTCCCACCTATGAGTGAGAATATGCGGTGTTTGGTTTTTTGTTCTTACAATAGTTTACTGAGAATGATGATTTCCAATTTCATCCATGTCCCTACAAAGGACATGAACTCATCATTTTTTATGGCTGCATAGTATTCCATGGTGTATATGTGCCACATTTTCTTAATCCAGTCTATCATTGTTGGACATTTGGGTTGGTTCCAAGTCTTTGCTATTGTGAATAATGCCGCAATAAACGTACGTGTGCATGTGTCTTTATAGTCCTTTATAGCAGCATGATTTATAGTCCTTTGGGTATATACCCAGTAATGGGATGGCTGGGTCAAATGGTATTTCTAGTTCTAGATCCCTGAGGAATAGCCACACTGACTTCCACAATGGTTGAACTAGTTTACAGTCCCACCAACAGTGTAAAAGTGTTCCTATTTCTCCACATCCTCTCCAGCCCCTGTTGTTTCCTGACTTTTTAATGATCGTCATTCTAACTGGTGTGAGATGGTATCTCATTGTGGTTTTGATTTGCATTTCTCTGATGGCCAGTAATGGTGAGCATTTTTTCATGTGTTTTTTGGCTGCATAAATGTCTTCTTCTGAGAAGTGTCTGTTCATGTCCTTCGCCCACTTTTTGATGGGGTTGTTTGTTTTTTTTCTTGTAAATTTGTTTGAGTTCATTGTAGATTCTGGATATTAGCCCTTTGTCAGATGAGTAGGTTGCGAAAATTTTCTCCCATTTTGTAGGTTGCCTGTTCACTCTGATGGTAGTTTCTTTTGCTGTGCAGAAGCTCTTTAGTTTAATTAGATCCCATTTGTCAATGTTGGCTTTTGTTGCCATTGCTTTTGGTGTTTTAGACATGAAGTCCTTGCCCATGCCTATGTCCTGAATGGTAATGCCTAGGTTTTCTTCTAGGGTTTTTATGGTTTTAGGTCTAACGTTTAAATCTTTAATCCATCTTGAATTGATTTTTGTATAAGGTGTAAGGAAGAGATCCAGTTTCAGCTTTCTACATATGGCTAGCCAGTTTTCCCAGCACCATTTATTAAATAGGGAATCCTTTCCCCATTGCTTGTTTTTCTCAGGTTTGTCAAAGATCAGATAGTTGTAGATATGTGGCGTTATTTCTGAGGGCTCTCTTCTGTTCCATTGATCTATATCTCTGTTTTGGTACCAGTACCATGCTGTTTTGGTTACTGTAGCCTTGTAGTATAGTTTGAAGTCAGGTAGTGTGATGCCTCCAGCTTTGTTCTTTTGGCTTAGGATTGACTTGGCGATGCAGGCTCCTTTTTGGTTCCATATGAACTTTAAAGTAGTTTTTTCCAATTCTGTGAAGAAAGTCATTGGTAGCTTGATGGGGATGGCATTGAATCTGTAAATTACCTTGGGCAGTATAGCCATTTTCACAATATTGATTCTTCCTACCCATGAGCATGGAATGTTCTTCCATTTCTTTGTATCCTCTTTTATTTCGTTGAGCAGTGGTTTGTAGTTCTCCTTGAAGAGGTCCTTCACATCCCTTGTAAGTTGGATTCCTAGGTATTTTATTCTCTTTGAAGCAATTGTGAATGGGAGTTCACTCATGATTTGGCTCTCTGTTTGTGTGTTGTTGGTGTATAAGAATGCTTGTGATTTTTGTACATTGATTTTGTATCCCGTAGTCTCTAATTTTAAAAAATCCAGAGGCAAAACAAAGCAAGAAAAATCAATGCACTGTCGATACACAAAGCAACAAATAAAATGACAATCAGAGAAAACTCACATATTAATGCTATCAACAGTGAATATTAAGTATCTGTGACTTATATGCAGCATGCTGTAGTAAATGAGAAATTTTATTGGAGAGATGAAGAGTATACAAAAAAAAATCAACTAGAAATGCCGAAAATGAAGAGCAGAGTAACAAAGATGAAGAATGTCTTTGATAAACTCATCAGTAGACTAAACTCTGAGTAAAGAATCAGTAAAGAATCAATGAACTCAAAAGTAGGTCAATAGCAATTACCCAAAGTTAAATACAAATAGAAAACAGAGTGGGGAGAAAGAGCAGAGAATGAAAGAGTTCTGAGAAAATGTCAAGCTCTTTTAGTGGTTGTTTTGTTTCGCTTTTGTTTTTTATTTGAGACAGAATCTCAATCTGTCTCCCAGGCTGGAGTGCAGTAGCCCAATCTTGGCTCACTGCAACCTCTGCCTTCTGGGTTTAAGTGAATTTTGTGCCTCAGCCACCCGAGTAGCTGGTATTATGGGCACCCACCACCATGTCCAGCTAATTTTTGTATTTTTAGTAGAGACAGGGTTTTGCCATGTTGGCCTGGCTGGTCTCAAACTCCTGGCCTGGAGTGATCCACCCTCCTCGCCCTCCCAAAGTGCTGGGATTACAGGTGTGAGTCACCATACCCAGCCAATGTAAAATTAGTTAATGACAGACATATATAAAAATATATATGGCGTCAGAATATCAGGAGGAGAAGAGAGATAAAGGGAGAGAAAGAGATTTAAAGAGATGAGAGCTCAGCTTTTGCAAAATCAATAAAACATGCTAAACCATAGATCTAATGATTTCAGAGAAACCCAAGTAAGATAATTTTTGTAAATGAGCACAAGACACATCATATTCAGCTGGCTAAAGAGCAAAGCAAAGGAAACAATCTTGAAGGCATTCAGAGAACATAAGACAGAATACATACGAAGAAGAAACAGAAGAAACACGGCAGACTTATTTTCAGAATCTATGTAAACTGAATGACCATAGAGTGACACCCTTGAAGTGCTACAAATAAAAGCCATCAACCCACAATGATATGAACAGTGAAACTATCTTTTAAAATTAAAGATAAAATGATATATTTTCAATACAATATAAACAAATTGGAGATAATTTACTAATAGCAGATAAGCACTGCAAGAAATATTTTCAAAAGTATTTCAGGCAGAAGGAATCTTTTTTTGATAAAACTTGAGTTTATACAAAAAATGATGTCTTGAAATGGCTAAATCAAAAGTAAAATTGAGGGATTATTTTTAATCACTTTAAAAGATGATTGCATTTTTTAAAGCAGGGATTACAAACTTTTTCTGTTAAGGGATAGCCAGTAAATTTTATAGCCTTTGTGGACCATATGGTTTCTGTTGCAACTACTTACTTCTGCTGTTTCAGTATGCAACCAGCTGCAAACAATAGGTGAACAAATGGATATGGCTCTATTGTAATAAAACTCGACTTGTGACAGATGGCAGGCCAGATTTGACCCACAGGCCATAAGTTGCTAACTTCTTCTCTAAAACTAGTTTCAATGTATTGTGGATTAACAGCATATGTAAAAGAAAATATATGTCACTGTTAGCACAGAAGATGGGATAAAGGAATAGAAAACATACTATAAGCAGTTTCCTTAACTCTATGTAAACAATATTATGTAAAAAAACTGATTAGTTAAAATACCTATTTTAAACACTAAGGGAACTACTTTTACAAAACAGATGTATACATACTGAACCAACAGTGAACATAAGATTGAATCACACAATTCAAACTAACCAAAGACAGGCAAAAAGAGGAAATATTAAGGAACAAATGATAACTAGAACAAATAGAAACCTGAAAAATCATATGTTTATGATATCTATTATTGTATTATTTGTAAATGGCCTACATGTATCAAATAACATAGTGATAGCCAGAATGTTTATTAAAAAACACAACTATATGCTGACCAAATGTAACCTATTTTTAATGTAAACACATACATACATTAAAAGTAAAAGAATGGGAAAAGATATATTACACAAACATTAATCAAATGAAAGCTAGGAAGCTCTATTAATGTTAAAGTAGACTTCAGAAACAGAAATATCTCTAGGGATAAGCAGAAACATTTAACAACTATAAAGAAGACATAAAAGTCATAAATATGTACATACCCACAATAGAGTTTCAAAATACATAAAACAAAAACTGATGGGACTGAAAATAGATGTGGCAATTTCAGTATTTTTTGGAGATTTTAACATTCCTCTATAGCAAAAGTCAATAGAAAATCAACAATATAGTAAATCTAAATGATGCAATCAAATAATCTAATAGAAATTTATAGAACATCTCTGCAAAATCACAGGATGTACATTCATCTCAAATGTACAGTGAATGTCAATGTAAACCAAATTTTGGAATATTAAAAAAGTTAAAGTATAAGATAATTTATATAAAGGATGTTGGACTAGTTAGAATTATACTGGAAACTATAATCAAAAATATATGGAAAATTCTCAATTATTTGAAAATAAAGCTGCACATTTCTGAATAACCCAATAGTTAAGTAAAAAGTCAAAAGAAGGTAAGATAGCCTTCCAGAGCAAAGAATTATTTGAACAAAAATGTCAGGGCTGAGGTTGAGAAACACTTTTAGAAAATAGAAGAAAAGAAAAAAATATGAAATTTTGATTTGATATTATTCAAAATTATGTCATTAATATCCAAACTGAGGAAGAACTTAGAAGAAAGCCAATAACTTTAAGAACATATACAAATGGAGGCTCAATAAATTTATTAAAATGTAATCTAGCAAAATGTAAAAAAGTTAATCATTATTTTCATGTGCCATTTATTCCAGAAATGCAAAGTTAATTACTTGAAAATAAACTATCATTTACCATCTATAAACTAAAGAATTAAAAATCTGTGGTCACATCAATAGATGCTGAAAAGTTGCTTGCAAAGTTCACACCAAGTAATCATGAAAACTCTGAAAACCAGTAATAGAAGGGAAAGAGCATCTATAAAGTAAATAACAACAAAAATGAATTTGATATTAATATCCTATATGATGGAGAAAGACTGAATGTTTTCTCCTTAATCTTGGAATTAGGCAAGAAGATTCACTCAAAGCATTTCTATTCAAAGATATACTAGAGAAATAAAATAGGAAAAAATACATGTATGGATTAGAAAGAAAGATATTAAACAGTTTCCATTCACAGATTAGAGAATTTATCTGCATAGAAAATCCAAAATAATCTACAAAAACATCAGGATTAATAAGTATGGTTAGTAAAGTTGCAGCATACAAAGTCAATATGCAAAATTCAGTTGCATTTTTATATACAAGCAATGAAAAATTAGATATTGAAAACAAAATATCCTTTATTTAGCAACAAATCACGAGAAATGATTAGATATCACTTTAACACAATATAGGCAAGCTCTCTCTATTGTGCTAAATAATGACCCTCATAGATGTCCGTGTCTTGAAGATTTGATTAAATTAAGGTTCTTCAGATGGGAGATTGCCATGGACTTGCACGTGTTCTTCTAAGAGGGAGGCAGGAAACCACAGTCAATGCATCGCTTAGATAATTCATATGTTATATCTGAAACAGAGTGTTGCCTATGTATCAAAAAGAACTTTGGGAAGAAGATTGGTGGTCCCACAATTTTCCTGTTTTGCTAATGGCTCCTGATTACTTGTATCTTTGAAATTACCAGGATTTGACAATGGGTAAGATTTCTGATTCTTTTGAGTCTGATTTGATAATCCTATCTTTTGTGCTATTTTAATAATATAGGCAAAACAAAATTATCCTTATGGATATGTATTCATTCACAAATATGGCTTAACCTAACAATTCAAACAAATCAAAAGTTTATGTATTGATCTATTTACAAGTGCAGGCAAAGGAATCCCAGATTAAAACTGCATAAATAAATAAGGAAAATTTCTATCACACAGGATAGTTCAAAGATAGAGTTGGCACCAGGATTGCTTGATTTGGCAGTGTATTCATAAGGACTTGGGTTCTTTATGCCCGAATGCACTGCCATTTCAGTGATTGCTGCATCCTCAGGCTGATGTTGAGAAAATTGAAATCCTCAATTATATCATCCAGGCAACATCTAGAGGAAGAAATATTTACTGTGGCTTGCTGTGAAGATTTAAGAAAGTTTTTCAGTTGCTCTGGAGCAGATTTCTCCTCTTTTCTCATTTTCTATATCCAGATTACATTCTCAGTGAGGATAACAGAAATAACATTTGAGCAATTAGATCTATTCCTGATACTGGAGATAGTGTCACCTTCACCAGGGTGCAGGGCGGTGAGGTGAGGGTAGATATTTAACAAAAGCTGAGTTCTATTGGGAGAAAAGAGGAAAGGATTAATGTGGGGCAGACAAACAGTATTATCTTTTATATAGCATGAAACAGATATGCAATTTGTAATTTGGGGGTTGTCCAAAATTCCAATGTTGCACTTTTAAAGCATAATTTGATGAATATGTACCATTATCAAAATTTGCAAATGATATTGAAATGATGTGCTACATACATTAAGCTACTTTTAAAAAATAACTTAGTTGAGATATAACTTACATACCATTCATTTCACTCATTTAATATGTCCAGTTCAATGGCTTTAGTATATTCAGAGTTTTGAAACCATCAAATCAACTTTACATTTCAGCACCAAAAAACTCCCATATCCCTTGGCCATCATCTTCCAATCCTCTTCCCCATCAACCAGACCTGGCAAAATTGTTCTGGATATGTTATACAAATAGACTTATTCAATATGTAACCTTCTTTAACATGCCATAATGTTTTCAATGTTAATTCATGTTGTAGCATGTATTGGTATTTAATTCCTTTTTATTCCTGAATAATATTTTATTTTTGTGGATATATCCCATTTTAGAAACCCTTTCATCAGTTGATGGATATTTGACTTCCTTCCATTTTTTGGCTATTATAAATAATGTCATTATGAATATTCATACACAAGTCTTTGTAAGGACATATGTGTTCAATTCACTTGGATATATACCTAGGAGTGAAATTGCTAGGTCATGTTGTAATTTTATGCTTAACTTTTTGAGGAACTGCTAGGTTGTTTTCCAAAGAATTGCCCTACTTTACTTTCTCACCAGCAGTTTAGGAGGATTTCAATATCTTCAAATCCTGCCAATACTTGCTATTATCTATCTTTCTGATAATAGCCATCCTAGGGTGCTTAAGAAGTGATAAACTCAATGTGGTTTTGATTTGCATTTACCGGATGACTAATGATGTTGACCAACTTTTTATGTGCATGTAGAGCATTTGTAAATCTTCTTTGATGAAATGCCTATTAAAATATTTTGCTCATTTTAACTGAGTAATTTGTCTTTTATGATTGAATTGTAAAAGTTCTTGGTTTATGCTAGATATAAGCGCATCATAAAATAGACATGTTTTGCAAATATTTTCTCCTATATTTTAGCTTTTCTTTTCACTTTCTTGATGTTCCCTGAAGCACAAAGGTTTGAAATTATAATGAAGTCCAATTTATCTATTTTCTTTAGTTGCTGTGCTGTGGTATCATATGTAATACACGATTATAAAATCAAACATTATAGAATTGAATCTCTACCATTATGCCAGTACCAAACTTGATTACTGCAGCTTTGTAGTATGTTTAGAAAGTATGACTTCCAACTTTGTTCTTTTACAAGATAGTTTTGGCTATTCAGGATGCCCTCAACTTTCATGTGGATTATTAAACTATCAATTTTTGCAAAGATTGAGTCTGTACATCAATTTGGAGAGTATTGCCACCTTAATATTATGTTTGTCAATCCATAAAGATGAATTTTAATTCATTTTTTAGATCTTCTTTAATTTCTGTCAATAATAATTAGTATTACTGAGTGTAAGTTTTGCACTTTTTGAGCTAAATTTATTTTTACTTTATTATTTTTGATGAGGTTTTAAATAAAAATTTTAAATTCTTTTCTCTTCTTATTTTTCATTGCAAGAACATAGAAATATGATTGCTTTCTGCATATTGATCTTGTCTTGTGGAACCTTGCTTAACTAGTTTATTAATTAGTGAAGTTTTTAGCAGAATTCTTAGGACTTTCTTGATACTATGTAGTGGAATCTGTGGTAGAGACTATTTTCTACTTCCTTTACCACCTGCATGCTTTTTACTTTTTTCTTATCTAACTGTCCTGTCTGGAAACCGCAGTAAAATGTTGAATAGAAACAATAGAGCAAATATCCTTATCTTGTATCCCAACTTAAAGAAAAGTATTCAGCCTTTCACCATTAAGTATAATGTTATCTGTGGAATTCTCTCTCTCTCTCTCTCTCTCTCTCTCTCTCTCTGTGTGTGTGTGTGTGTGTGTGGTGGGGTGGGGTTGAGGGGTGCATGTGAATTCCCTTTATTAGATTGAGAGAATTCCATTTATTCCTAATATTTTGAGCATTTTTATCACGAACAGGTTTCAGATTTTATCCAATGCTTTTGCTGCACCTGCTGAGATGAACTTGGTTGTTATATTCTTTGTTGCTGTTGTTAAATGTTGTGAAATGCATAAATTGATTTCCACATTAAACCAACCTTACATTTTTGAAATAAATCCTTATTGGTAATCATATATAAACATTTTTAAGTGCTGATGAATTCAGTTAGCTAGAATTATTGAGAATTTTTGGTCTATATTCATAAAAGACACTGGTCTCTAGATTTATTTTCCTGAGATGGTTTTGTTTGGTGTTTAAATAAACGTAGAATGAGTTGGAAAGAGTTTCTTTCTCTTTTGTAATTTGTATGAGCTTGTGAAAAATCATTATTAATTCTTGAAGCATATGGTAGATTTCAACATTGAAATAATCTGCACCTGGGAGTTTATTTCTGGGTGGCTTTTTACCTTCTAATTCAGTCTCTGCTTCATATAGATTTTCAGATTTGCTAATTCTTTTTGAGTCAGTGTCAATAGTTTGGGTCTTCCAAGAATTGATTTAATTTCCTGTAAGATATCTAATCTGAAATGGAGTTTCTATCACACTGAGTTAGGAATAGGGAGGAATGGAGGAAGGAGGTGGGTCATGATTGAAATGCCACATACTTTCACTCTTCTTGCTGAGTTTTTATAGTTTTCTTGTGTCTTCTATTCTCTTTTGCTGTATACTTTTAGGGTGTTATCCAGTGATTTTAAATAGTTGGATTTTTGTATAATTTTCACTAGTTATGCGTGTTTCACTGAGTTGCAGCTCTGTGGAAACTCTCTGGCTGCCGTTCTGGAATAATGGAACTCCCATTATTCTACTTTTAACATACGTCATGTCCGTCTCCAAAGTTCAATAGATCTGTCTTAGATTCAGTGCTCTTTTAGCGACTAAGTTTCTTTCATTTGACTACTATTGCTGTTTATACTCAAAATAGCAGTGTTTACTTAGTCCTACCATTGGCAGTCAGTCATTTTCAGGGTGGTCCACTTTCCTAGCCCTAAACTGACACAGAAAACTCTGAAATCATTAATCTTTTGCCTTAAGATATCTTGGATCATTTTGCCTTTTCTACACTAAGAATCACCATTTTCTACTCCTCAGAGCATTTTTGTTTTTATTCCTGACAGTGTATTAGTCTACTTGGGCTGCCATAGCAAAATACCATAGACTAGGTATCTTAAACAACAGAAGTATATTTTCTCACGATTTTGGAGGCAAGAAGTCCCAAGTCAAAGTTCTAGCTAATTGATTATATTTCTCGCGAAGGCTCTCTTCCTGGCTTGTAGAAGTGCCTTTTTGCTATGTCATCATGTGACCTTTTCTCAGTGTATGTCCATGGGTAGAGACAGAATGAGGGTGAGCTCTCTGGTTTCTCTTCTTACAACAATACTAATCCTATTGGGTTAAGCCCCCACCCTTACAAGCTTATTTAACCTTAGATACTTCCTTAAATGTTCCATCTCCAAATACAGCCAGCCATACTGGGGATTAGGTTTTCAACATATGAATTTTGGAGGGACTCAACATTTAGTCCATAACAAAGTATAAACAGTTTGAGCCACAACTTCTAGTGTTCAATATTTATATTTTTCACAAAATAATTATGACAGGCACCTCTAGTCATGATTTAGCTCCTGGTTTTAGTTTAACCCTCACTTTACTATGTATGTGTGTGTGTATATATATATATGTTTTTTTTTTCTTTTTTTACTGACTTAAGACCTTCTCAGTTCATGTCATTATTTTCCAATTATTCCTTCCAGCATCCCCTCCTTTAATAAATTGAATCTCCCCAAAGGCTGTAGAATTTCAAATACCATATTAGACCACTGGTAGGGAAATACCATATAATACCACCTAATATTTAGAAAAAAAATCATTCAGTTGCTAACTATTATCTGTTTTTCACGAAGCCTCATTGATGTGATATATCTGTTCATTTCTCCGGGTCAATAGGCCAAGTGTTCAGCTTGTTTTTGTACCAGTAATGAGCTCATATTTGTCTCTTAGCCTGAATTTTTCTCCTTTGCCTGTAAGGGAAATGCGCCATCACTAAATCTTGAATCATCTGACAATTTATAAACACATCACAAAGAAAGATATGCAATTTGCCTTTTCATTCAACCAAATTTCTTGCCTCAGAAACTAACCTTCTTAGCCGACTGTTTCCTCAGATTATGTAGTTCCTACATGAAAATAATGCCAAGGGGTCTGCAAGCATATTTTAGTTCCCAGTTCTGAAATAAACATTGAGAAATGTTGAAATGTTGTTTTATATGTTGAAATTCCCCATTATTCTATAATTTAGCCATGGCTTCACAGAACTCTCATTTTCCAAATCCTTCTCCAAAAAATCAGCTTTCATTTGATCTGATATTTCCTCCCTTCCTTTCCTCCTCCCTCTCAAGAGCAAATTCTCTCTATCAAAATTTTCCACTGACACTATTAGTTCCATGTGACTGAAACAGAATTATATATAATCCTTATTACCATCTATTATTAAAACAATTATGGTTGTGCAAATGGAGATCCCTACCTTCCACCCAAGTTCAGAATATAATCGAGCAAAGGGCACAAAATATATCTTCTTGAATAATAAATATTAAATTAATTTTTTGAACTAGTATCTACAGATTTTTCAAACTTATCCAAGGGTCCTTGGAGCCCTGAACTGCCATTTTCTCACATCACTATTATTTCATTCTTCCTATCTGTAGTAATAAGAGCAACTCATCAGGAAAATTACCCATACACATATAGAGGATAAAGTGAGGATCCCTTTGGAGTTCCCACAAAAAGCATCATGTAAATCTCTGTTAAAATATTAAAGGATACTGATTGTATTAATTGCCCCATCATTAAGGGAGAATGTGTTTTAGAACAATATCTAAACAGTTTCCCTAAAAGGAAATGCAAAAAGATCTTTATAAGTACTATTATTAAGGTTATGCTTCAAAGTTAATTTCTAAGGAAGAAATCAAACACTGGAAAAGACTAGGGATTCATTTAAGTGGGAAATATGTATTCACTTTTAGTTGGCTAAAGGTACAGACTATGGGTTTCAAATAAAGTTGTTTACCAGAAATTGTAGATCTTTTTTTTCCACGGGGGGTGGGTGTTGTAGATCTCTTTTTCTGGAAGAAGCCGGTTCTTACATAATTTGCAGTCTTGGTAAGTTTTTACACCATAAGTTCATAAATTTGGTTTTCAATCCTCAACATCCAAAATCAAAAAGTTATCAAGCTGCTTCAAAATCAACATTTGGGGGCAGGAGAGTTCCATCAGGCTTTCTCCCCACTACCATCACTTGATGTAATTGGCTCCAATTCTGTAAAAACTGGCAAGTTATTGCATACATGCCTAAGACCTTGTTCTAAAAAGTAATTCTCTTTGAGATCCTGGAGTAACTTAGAAGGAACTTAAGCTCTCAGAATTTTGGATATTTTATTGGTAATGTGATGTTTAATCTGATATCTTTGTAGCTAAGATACAAATGGACATTTTAAGCAAGAGTTACAAAGAGAGGGACAAAATGGCCTTATCAATTTTTAAGGACTAAATTTTGAACCTCAGTCAGGAGACCAGACCCAGTTTTTTGTGGTAATTTTATTTCAGGCAACTTGTTGCTCATCTGTATTTCTTTGTTCTCATCAGGGACACTTTAGTCCACCCTGATAGGCCTCCATAGGTTCAGATCTGGAAAGCAGACTCTGGAGTTTTTGTCCCTCACCTCTCAGAAGCACTGGATCTATGAATGGTGTTGCATATGTTACACTCTCCCTCTCCACCTTCCCAGTTCCCACAGCCAGCTTTGATGATTAGGGAATGTTTTTGCATCTCAAGTAATGTCCTTAATGAAGTCACCAAAGGTTCTTCCACAGCTTTCTCTGGAGGTCAATGAATGCTGACTCACTCAATATTTACATAATTAAGGGGGATCATTCAAGTGGATACTTGTAAAACACCTACAATCTGATTCAAGGTGATCTCTGTTCTTCCTAAAAGACAAAAGCTCCTGGCAACATAGAGCAACAGTTTTATTACCATTATCATCTGTGCCATCCAAGGTATAGATTCTCTAGGAGAGACGGCAAGTAGCCTGAATTAATTCAACATATAATTGTTGTTCTAGACATATTAGTAATATAAAAGGAATACATCAAATTTTAATTTTAGAAGCATCTCTCTAAAGATAGTGTGGAGAATCAGTAGAAGAAAAAGAAGGGTGATAATTAGAAGGTCTTTGCAAGTACACAAGTGTCTTAGTTTGTGTGGTGCTCCTATAACAGAATATCTGAGACTGAGTAATTTATAATGAACACAAATGTACTGGCTCACAGATCTGGAGGCTGGGAAGTCTAATATCAAGGCACTGGCAGGTTTGGTGATTCTGATTCCAAGATATTGCCTTGAACGTCGTGTTCTTCTGAAGAGAAGAATGATTCATTATCACACGGCAAAAGACGGACTGACAAAGACGTAACAAGGGGCCAATCCTGCCCTTTTATAACAGCATTAATCCCACCCATGAGGGTTCACCCCATCACCTAACCAAATCCTAACTCCTAACACTGCCATAATGGAAACTGAATTCCAACATGAGTTTTGGAGGGGACAAATATTGAAATCATAGAACCAAGTAAAAAAATGGCAAGAGCTTAGATTAGAGAATTGACCGTTTAAGAATATATAGTTTGGAAGAGTTTTAGAAAATAGAAACAACACAATGCATGCATTGATGTGACTGTTGTGGGAAAGGGATATATAACCAATGTAACCATAATAAGGTGGATAATGATGTGATTATCTTGGATATATAATATAGGAGAAGGAATAAATTTGGTAAGAGAATCATACACACTGTACTTCAAACAAGCTGAATTTTACATATCTAGTGGGACATTTGAAATAAATGTTAGGATTTTAGACATACAGAATTAAGTATTCCCAGCAGATTAATTGAAGTTCAATCCATGAGAATTTTAAAAATTTCAAAGACAGATTACAGAGAGGATATAAGGGTCAAGAACAGACCTCTGGGGTAACATCAGCCTTCACAGGGAAAAGAGATGAAGGGATATCCACAGAATTATTAAAAAGCGAGCTTAGGCAGATTGGAGTCATCAAACAGAAGAAAAGAGAGTTTTTTAAAAAAGTGATCAAACACTACTCAGAAGCTGAGAAAGAAAAAGAATAAAAGTGACAAATATTTTTGAAAATCATGGCTATGGTGCAAGTAGTTTTATTAGATTTGAGGGTGGCAACAATGAAAAATTTTTACATAATTAAAGAGCAGAAGTTTCTTTTATATGTCCTTAAATCTGAAGCTTTCAAGGTTTGCTTTTAGAAAAGAAATGGCTTTTGAACAATCAAAAAATGATGAAAATATAAGTAATCTAAATCAATAAAAATACAGAGAAAACATATTCAAGACAAAAAAACTTTAAACTTACATGAATTCTTCAGGTATAAAGAGTAAACTAAAGTACTGAAATGAATCATTCTGAACATTTCGAGAGTGCATTAGGGATCTAAATTTTGCCGTCGTACCCATTATAACCCTCAACTTACGAAATTTGCCAGCAAAAATACTTGATGTATTTAAAATCATAGTCACAGACAATCACCTCTGATTTCTTTTCTTTAGCTACAATTTTAAGAGTGAAACATTCCTCAAAGAACATTTTCTTTTATTCATGACACTTTAAAAGGAATTTATTTTCCTGTGAGTATAATTATATGAGCAGATCACTCAAGCCTTTTCTATGAACAAAATTTTGAAGTTGGTATACATAATGTCACTGTACTCATGTGCATGATGTTACAATGATCTTAGAATCCCTTTACATTGATCATATTTAGCAGTTGGGTCCTGAAAATTTACTTAAAATTTAAACAAAGTAATATATAGATTTAACAAAGAAAAATAGGAATTAATCAAATACACACATTCACTCAATCTTGTGTAACCTTTGACAATTGAGGATATTCATTGACCTGTATCCTAGAGGAAGAGAAAACGTTAATTTGTACCTGTGTTGTCAGAAAAGAGGTGTTACAGAGACCTTAAGAAGGAGGGTGATAGGGAAAGGGGAGAGAGAACATAGTAATTTAATACCTCTATGGGTACTTTTTGACTGAGGGATGCTCTAAGAAAATGATTGAGTATGTTAATGGAGGGAAGAGGACATACAGTTGAAGATACACCCCAAGTGAGAGAATATTCAATATGTTAGAGAGATGAGGGTATGGGTCACATGAATCATGTAGCTGGCCACTCCCAAAAGCTCCAGGAGGTTTCCTATTCCCAACTCAGAGATTATAAATAAAAGGTCAGATATTTACATGACTGGTTGGATTTGTAAGCAACTTGAGCTTCGGTATATCATCTCACATTTAAAATTTGTTTCCACATTTTATTTTTCCTTAAACTAATTTCATATGCTTTATTAATTACTGTTTATGGAGTAGGTGCCTACAGTTTTTCAGGTTATGAAGTGCCTCTCAGAGCATGTCAATTGAAACAAAGAAGCCCAAAAGAGAGCACTAGGCACAAGCAGCAGCAGATTTTTACAAGGAAATCATTAGACATGAAGCTCTTATAACCTTTTTGTCTCTTTATTCTGTGGACAAAAATTCCAGACTTCAGTGAGAAAGATGAATAACAGGAATAAACATAATCTGGGAAACAATTATATAACAAAAACATAAAGTGTGTGGATAGAAAAGCGAGTTTGGTGTTTGTGTACCTGAGCTGAAATCCATGTTCCAGCTGTAGTTTCTGTGACTTTGGAGGAGGCAATCCTCTCTGCAATTTAGACTTCTTTGCATGATCTATTTACCAGGAGATTCTATCTCCCTCCCTCATTCCTTCCTCTGCATTGTAGCTACTCCTTCTAATCTTTTATCTTCTTTAATGAGGCCTGCCTAAATCTCAAATCATAATACATTTTATTTTATTATATTCCTATGACAACACGAACTTTCTGTTTTAACCAATAATGATTTACTGTAATTATGTCCTTTCTTTAATAGTAATTCTGAAACTTTGTAGTATTTGTGAGGGCTAATGCCTGCCTTACTGTTCATTTTTTTCCCCTAGTGTTGGCATGTAAGTGCTTAAGAAATATAGTTAAATAATTTAATAAAGTAATCAAATAAAAATTCTACTCTATTATTTACTTACTAAGGAACATCAGAATAAACGATTATTTTTATACCAGGAGAGGGTAGTAATTACATTATCTAAGATTAATTTTGATTTTGCAATAATCCGTTTAAAGTTAACATGAAAGTTGGAGCACATAGTAGGATGTCTTAAGGAATAATTAAATTTTAATACTTGAATCTTCAACTATATGATAATTATGGATTATTTAACCATTTGTTGAGTATTGAGCGATTTTTTTGTTTGGTCCTGGTTAGGAAATAAAAAATGTTGAAAAATAAGTTATTGGAAAATCAATACTAAATTATAGTTATAAACCAGTAACATCCTTTGTTAAGTCAAGACTTTGGCTTCTTAAAATATGACATTGTCAGGCCGGGTGCAGTGGCTCACGCCTGTAATCCCAGCACTTTGGGAGGCCGAGGTGGGCGGATCATGAGATCAAGAGATCGACACCATCCTGGCCAGCATGGTGAAACCTGGTGTCTATTAAAAATACAAAAATGAGCCAGGCTTGGTGGCACTCGCCTGTAGTCCCAGCTACTCGGGAAGCTGAGGCAGGAGAATCGCTTGAACCCGGGAGGTGGAGGTTGTAGTGAGCCGCGATCATGCCACTGCACTTAGGCCTGGGTGACAGGGCGAGACTCTATCTCAAAAAAAAAAAAAAAAAAAAAAAAGACATTGTCATGTTAAACTATTGATTGCTGTCTGTCATAATCAAATGCTTGAATTTGATGATAGATTATGAGTTAGGTTTTTAGACATTTATTTTAAACCTGTATAATAAGTGGTGTTTGTGTACTGTGTCAGATGCGTGTGGATGAAAGGGGTAAAAGTGGAAATCTAACAGAGTGATTAAGGACTATTTAGCACTTCACACTTTGACTTTATTATCCAAAATCATCTATTCAAATTACATGAGATGAAAGTTTGGCAAACAAAAACTAGGCGTCAGTGGATTTTTTTTTCCAAATTTAGTTTAGCAGTGAAGACAGAAATGACTGGAAAATATTCTGCTACTGTCTTTTGCTAAATTACTAGGGTATGACCTAATAAGCCTTACGAAAGTGAACCTCTTGTACAGTGTCTGGTTCCCAAGAAACTCAGCCTATTACAATTGATGCCATAAATGAATTAAGAAAGTAGATAATGGGGTGATGTTTTGTGGCTGGGTTACTCACTGCCAGGCTGGCAATAACGGTCCCTCACTGACAATTCTTATTGGTAGAATACAGAGAGTTCTTAGTACAAGATAGATGTACAATTGTTAAAATTTTCACTTTTGATGAATTGGTATAGTATACTGGTGGAAGGTGATATATTAATTGGGGCAAAGTATACAGCATTTGAGAAATATGGAGAACATAAGAACTATTAGGACAATGGATTTGGGTAGCTATTTTTAAGCACTCTTGATGCTCTGGACAGAGAAAAAAATGTTGAGAGCAATTAATTGGCAAGTAAATTTAAGTTCAAAATCGAGAGAGTTGTCCTGGTTGCATACAGACAGATTCTTACCCCTATCAAGGGAGAACAGAGTAAACTGAAGCCCAGAGCCTGGAATAAACTATCAGATTGTCTGAGCTCCCAAGGAGGTAAGTCTCATATGTCAGGTAAGTCTGGCATGCTAAAGTCAGGCTCCTGGTTGGGAAAGAATGAGAACTTGACCCACGAAAGGAGAAATTTGTGCTAATGCACTGAGAAGACTTGAAAGTCTATATTCGGCCGGGTGCGGTGGCTCACGCCTGTAATCCCAGCACTTTGGGAGGCCGAGGCGGGCGGATCAGGAGGTCAGGAGATCGCGACCATCCTGGCTAACACAGTGAAACCCCATCTGTACTAAAAAAAAATACACACACATAAAAAAAAAAAAATTAGCTGGGCGTGGTGGCAGGTGCCTGTAGTCCAAGCTACTCGGGAGGCTGAGGCAGGAGAATGGCATGAACCCAGGAGGCAGAGCTTGCAGTGAGCAGAGATCCAGCCACTGCATTCCAGCCTGGGTGACTGAGTGAGACTGTGTCTCAAAAAAAAAAAAAAAAAGAAAGTCTATATTCTTCAGGACCTTCTGAGCCTGCAAAAAAGGACCAATATTCCCTATTAAATGCCGTCTCTACATTTTGGTTGAATGAGATGCAGAGACCTCTCCTAAGACAACATGTGAGACCCTCAGAATAGACCTCAATTCTATTCCTTGCCTGAACTCCAATAAATGGGGTTAAAGTACAACATGTTCTATCTAAATAAAAGGAGAGTCTGATAAGAAATGAAAGAAACTATAACCCAAAAATTTAACATGACCCATCTAGTGCACAGGAACAGAAGCCAGAAGAGAATGTATGGGATATATTTTCAAGTGTACTTGATCAAGGGGTCATGAATAGGAGGTTGGATAAATTAGAGGTTATCAATTTGTGAGTATCTTCTAGAATACAAGAATTAATTTTCTGAAAGAACCCTAGGAGATTGTGTAACATGCTACTAGGGTGGCTTTAAAAGCATGAGAAAAAAAATGGCCTGGTAACTCACAACCTTTCTGGTTCAATTATTAGTTTTAACAAGTTATCTTATAGATTTCCTTGGACTTTCTACATCCATGTTGCCTGTGAGAAAAAAAATTATCTTTTGATAATCAACATATATTGTATGATCCACCAAGTTCATCGCCATCTATTAAAGACTACATTTTCTTCATTGTCACTCTAAATTGTTTATCTTGTCCCTTTTCTTTAAATTGAAGATCCCTTTATGACCTTATTTTTCTGTCTCATCTACTGCCTACCTTAGCTTTCCTCTTTTTCCACTTATCTTATCAAAGGCTAAATCATATTATGTGGCTTGGAACATATACCCTCCTGCATGGAGGTTACTCTCCCAAGCCTTCTTTCTGAAATGGATATTTACTTTTTCTGAAATGGATCTTTTTCATTGCATTTAAGTACACTTAACTCTCTGTACTTTGACACAAAAATAAAAGACTTAAAAAATATTTTCTACTATCCTCTTATACTTCAAGCAACTACCTCATTTTATTTCTTTTTAAGTGAAACTTCTAAAAAATATCCAAAATGTTGGCCTTACTTCTCCACACCTCAGTCAGTCTAAAACTACTATAATGCTAATTCCAAGCCCTATTACTTGCCAGGATTGTTCATTCCAGGTCAGCAATAAACCATGTAACTAAATTCAATGGGGATATTTTATTCCTAATCTTGATACAGTCTCAAATATGAAACTCTCTGTTCCTTGGTTTATATAACAAATAATCTCCCACTTTTTCTCTTCCCTCTTTAACAAATTATTTGTGCTCTGGTTAGATGTGTTTTTTTCTCTATCCAATTACAAAATAGTTTAGTTTTTCAGTATATGTCCTGTGTTCTACCCTTTGCTCATGTTGTGGTATCCCTGGGAAATGTTCATATATGAATGGAAATTACCATTTATCCAAAGATATCCAGATTTTTATCCCCCACATCTATCTCTTCACTGAGCTTGAGGCTTATATTTAATTATCTACTTGAGTTCTTCTTCTAGATATTAAAACGGCAACTAAAATTTGACACATCAAAGCTGTGTTATTTCACTCCACTTACATGATTAGCTTCTTTTCATTGCTTTCTATATTAATCAATGGCACTATCATTCATCTAATGATGCATATAAGTTCTACAAAGATAGATATCATTCTGGACTCCTGATTCAACCATAATCACTGTGCTATATGCAACACTTTGGTAGACTGAATAATGGTTCAAATTCTACATTCATCTGTAATACAATTATATATCCACAACATTTCCCATGTTATTTACAGTGTTTTGTTCATAGTTGCCAACACCCTGTATGTGGTTTAGCTTGCCCTTTTGTACTCTGGTGAACCACCTTAAAAACAGCATGTCTGAAACAGTGGCACACTCTATCCTAAGCCTCAGAATGAAGGCACATAGAGCAAGCCTCAACCCAATCAGTAGTAGCCTAGAGTCCAGTAAATTTCAGACAGGTCGAGTCTAAACTACATAAATGGCAGTTAACTTGCAGACCTATGATCATGAAAATACATGTTTGCTGTGGCAAGCCAGAAGGATTTTGAAATTTTTTGATATGCCACAGAATCTTGATGATTAAAATAATCATTACTATATATTTCACTTCCTGTATATCTCTTGAGTTACTTTTCTTCATCTTTTCATTCCATCTTAGTCAAAGCTACTCTTCCCTCTTATCTAAATACTACAATAATTGCCTAATGACTCTACCTTTATCTATTCTTTTCTCTTTATGCCTTGTCTCAACATGACTTGCAGAGTTATCCTTTAGATGTACGATTTTGATCAAAATACTTTCATTTGCCTCCAATAATCTTTGATACTTACATTCTTTAATTGCCATTCTTTGCTTTTAATAAAATAGACAAAACTTCAAAAGCCTTTTATAATTGGGCTTGTTGGTCTCATTTATGCTCCCTGATACCCTCTGCTTCAATTTAGCTGTCTGTTTCCATCACCTTGTTATGTGTGCCTGGCATTGGAACTGTACCCATGTTTCTTCTGACTGGCACACACATCCAGTTTCTGCTTTTGAAGTTAACTCTCTGTTGCTCTTCAGATCTCAGGTATATTATCCCTTTCTTTCAAAATCCTTCACTTACTTCTTGACTTGTCAAAGCTCTATCACACCTTCTCATAACACTGGTTTTTCTACCATTGCCTCCAGAAGCAGTCTGCCAAAACTTACTTCTGCTACAAACTTTTACATTGATGTAGCACTTAGCCACATCTCATTCATTTTGAAATGAGACAACACATTTTTTGAAATTGTTGCTTGGTTTGCAGGCATATGGATTTGCTACAACTGATCTTGCATATATGCAATCAAAAGTTTTTCCACTTTGAAGATCAGCCAATTATGTGTTATTGTTGCCATTGATTGCATCGGCTTAGTGTTATTCATTTTTAAAAGAACATTTTCCACATCTCTTAAAATATAGCCTAGAGTAGAATGCTAAAACTTGAAGTTAAAGCCTAGTTCATTTCATTTTATTTTCATACCTGTTGAGTCTAAATAAGCTCTCATTTCCAACACCAGAAATATAATGACTTTATTTTTGAAATATTTGAGGCTTTATAACTTTATTCATTCATAAGATAAGAAAAATTTGAAAAGAAACTGAAAGGAAAATTTGTGGAAAAGTGCTATATAATAGAAATACTCACTGAGTATATATATAGACAATATTTTTTGAAATAAATTTTATTTTTATACTCTGTAATTTTTTCTTTTGTCTTTTCTGCTGTAAGATTAATGAGTTTAATTCTGTAGGAGGAAGGTTGATATATGCTAGAACAAAAATGTAACCATTGACCTTAACTGCCATTTAAAATCTTTTTTTTTCAATTTCAAGCAGAAAATAAACATCCTTTTCTGAAATTGGGTTTTAAAATTATTTAGCACACTTCAGTATGAGTCCATCTTATTATTCCTCCATAGTTGAAAAATCACGGTCTTTACAAACTTTAGGATGGGGAAAAAGTCAATGTTATGAGATGTCCCATTCAAATCAAAGTTATAGGAGAAAGTCCATATTTTTTTTTCTATTCCCGTAAGAGTAGAAAAAAAAGAAAGAAAACAACTGGAACAACAAAAATAAGGCAGGAATATACCAACTTATTTAAGCCAAAATCTAGTACAAGAAACAGAAACACTAGGGGGAAAAACGAAAGGAGGGAGGCTTTGGAACCCTGAGGAGGATTACCATTGCTTAAGGGAGCCCCATTTGTACACAATAATGGTGAGTGGTCTCAAGAGAGCAAGAGCAGAGGATGAAAAGTTCGTTGTAGATATGGCTGTTTGGTGTTTAAGAGATCCAGACATCTCTTTGCACTCCAGTGAGAGGAGAGAGAGAGAGAGATGTGAAGAGGGCCATTAGATGATCAGAGTTGTAGTGTACAGGTACAGACTAAAACCAAGCTTAGAAGTGGAGCACTTACTTTTATTTTTACCAATGGGCTTGATGAATAATTTGAGTAATTTACATTCCAAAGGTAATTAGACTTTCAGTTCCAGTTTGATAAGTTTCCTTTCTCACAACCAATAAGCCAAAGAAACTAAAAATGAACAACTTTTCTTAGCTCAATCAGGGAATTGAGGTCTCAGGACAAATCACTACCACCAAAACTGGATAGACAGGAGAATACAGAGAAACACAGTTTAACTCAAGCAGAAGCCACTGCTGGAGCCAACAACTGGTAGAAACACTTAGAGGGTAATCACTAAGTGCTGAAGACTGAGCCCTAGAAAGAGAAAGCCCTAGAAAGCTCTAGAAAGATAAAAACTTTTAGGGACTCTGGCTTAGGGAGGTCACACACTTTTGTGAATTTTCCTTCCAAGAAACTCACCAGTTTCTCAGGTTGACAATGAGAGAAAAATCCCCTCCAGACTCTGAGAAAAGGAAAAGTAACCTTTTAAAATATAGCCAGTTCATTCCGTTCTCCTTAAAAATAAATATTGCCATCAAAAGAGACCATTTTACCAGGGTTTATCTGACCTGGAAAAAGAGAAATACCCAAATTATCAACATGGGTCAAGGGGAAAATTGACTTCAGCCCTATTGTCAAGCCTTTCTCAACTAAGTGTTGGCAGTGGGGAGGGAGAACTGAATAGCACTTGCGAAGATCACAGCCCAAAAGATAAAGTCTTAATGAAAGATTAAGATTTAGCTATACAATTACAACTTTTCACCTCTCCCACAGCTTACCACCACATCAATAGGGCTTTTGTATAATAACAAAATTACAGCTGAAATAACTGCAAAGTTTAGTTTCTATTTAACAATGAGTCTCTAGGGAACTAAAGATCACACAAAAGGCAGAAACGAGGACGCTAGAAAAAAATCATCCTCTGATGCCTACAGCTACAGAAAACACTAACCACAATAAACACAGCCTAATATCTCTCCAGATAAACATAAAAACCTCACACTAAGGACCTATTTACCTCAATTTTTATTTTTCACCTGCTACGTCATACCTAGCTTTCAATGAAAATTACAAGATGTAAAGAAGCAGAAACACAGTCTGTGGAAACAAAGCAAGCAACAGAACTGGACACATATATGTCAGAGATTGAAATTGTCAGAATAGGAATTTAAAATGTCTGTGATTAAACTGCAAAGGGCTCTAATGAAAAAAAGTGGACAACATGTGAAAGGAGGTATGTAATGTATGCAGAAAGAGGAAAATTCTAAGAAAGAGTCAAAGAGGAAAGCTAGAATTGTTTTTTCAAAAGCTGTAATAAAAATAAAGAATGTCTTCAGTGGTTTTATAAGTAGACTGGGCAGAGCCAAGGAGGAATCAGTGAGCGTGAAGATATGTCAATAGTAATTTCTCAACTCAGAAACAAAGAAGAAAAAAATCATTTTTTTAAAAAAGCCCAGTTTATAAAGAACTGTGGGAAATAATATGTATAATGTAAGCACAATGAAAATTACAAAAGGAGAAGTAAGAGGAAAAGAAAACCTATTTCAAGTTATAATGGCTGAGAATTTCCTAAAATATATGTCAGATGACAAACCACATATAGAGGACATTTAAGAACCCAAAGCAGGATAAAATCCAAAAAAAAAAAAAAAATCTGCAACTAGGTATATAATATTCAAAATGTATAAAATCAAAGACAAAATGTTGAAAGCGGGCAATGAAAAGAAACACCTTATGTACAGTGGAAGAAGGGTAAGAGTTATAATGAATTTCTCCTAAGAAACTAGGTAGGCAAGAAAAGAATGGAGTGAAATATTCACCATCAACCTAGAATTTTATATCTAGTGAAATTATCCTTCAAAAGTGAAAGAAAAATAAACACTTCTCAAAAAAAGAAAACTTGAGGGATTTTGCTTTCAGCAAAGAAAGAGGTTTGCTGAAAGAGGTTCCCCTGAGGAAAGAAAAATGATATAGGTTAGAAACTCCTGTCTACATAAAGAAATGAAGAGTGTTAAAAAATATATGAAAGTAAAATAAATTTTTTGTTATTAATTTATCTAATAGATAAGTTTGTTCAAAATAATATTAATAATATATTTTTTATAACTTATCTATAAGTGAAATGAATTACAGCAATATTATAAGAAGTAGAAGAAAGGAATTGGAAATACTTTCACTGCCTTCTTTCAACATTTTCTTTGTATTTAACTTTCTACACTTTGAATATGAAATGCCTACTCATGGAGTTTTTTTTTAATTTATCCTTCCAACAAATGTTTATAGGAGCTTTACTCGTAATTGCCAAAAACTGAAAATCACCAAATGCACATCAATGACTAAGTGGATAAACAACCTGTGGTGTATCTATACAAAAAAAAATTCACCTTTATAAAGAAATGGGCTATCAACAATGAAAAGACATGAAAGAAACTTAAATGCATTTTGCTAACTGAAAGAAGTCAATTTCAACAGGGTACATGCTAATCCAATGTGATTCCAAATACGTAGCAATCTGAAAAAGGCAAAACTGGAGAGAATCAAACTAAAGATGAGTTATTGCCAGGGTTTTGTGGGGGAAAAAAGGAAGGATAGGCAGGTGGAACACATGAAATGTTTAGGATAATGAAATTATTCTGTACCCTGTAATGGTGGATACATGGCATTATGCATTTGTCAAAATCCATAGAATTTACTACACAAAGGGAAAATATGAATGCATACCATATAATTTAGTTAATAATGTAACAGTATTGATTCTTCTACTGTAACAAATAAAATACATGATTGCACTATTATTATATCACTTTTAAGAGTGATATAATAGTGAGGGAAACTGTAGGGAGCAAAACAGGTATGAAGAAGCTTTGTACTTTTCAATTTTCTATAATCTGAAAACTGCTCTAAAATTGTCTTTTTTTTAAGGTAATAAAAGTAGGGTGTCACGAGTAAAGATAGCATAAAAGAGACAATCACTATGGATATGTAAATTTTGTAAAATTGTGCTTCTGGATGAAATGGTAGGTTGGACAAGTCAATGCTCCTACTGGAAAAAAATACATTATAAAAGTAATATTTGCATTGCAATCAAAATGCTTTGGAAGCAATTAAGACTAAAAAGAAATAAACACATGAGTATCATCAGATTTATATAACAATTTAGGCCCTTAGTCATTGTTCTATCTTTTCAAATAGTTTCCTCTGATATAATATGCAGAGACATCCATGGCCACCATCTAACATCAAAGTCTTATAAGGAACCCATTGAAAGATACAGACTGAACTTTCAGTGTTTAATGTATATGGCTCTAATTGTTTCAAGCCTGTAGAACTATTCCACTATATGGGCTGCTTCTTCTGCTTTTTTATTTTTGCATCGAATCTAAATTAATAATTAAACTGTTTCGTCTGGCTGAACACGTGGCTGGAGTAACTCCAAAAGTGGCGGCAGGGATTTCCACACGGGATTGCCCCAAACCATGCCCAGATGGAGCCCGTTGAGATTCCAAAGCAAGAGGCACTAAATGCCAGGGGGATCAGTCCTAAGCTTTTGTTAGGGAAACTTACCGAGTGCTGTAGCAATGCTCACAAAGGACTGAAAGAGAAAAGGGGTGCTCTACCTAGTTATGTCCCTGGTGAGGGGGTCAGGGTAGGGAGTTTATATGAAGGTTTAAGGAGTTTGGCTGAGTCTGGGATGATGTTTGTGCAACAACCTAGATACTTTTATCAGTGCCTGGGAATGAATTGTCAAGGCCTTGTTTGGATTCAAGCCTTCAGGAAAAACCTGTAGCTCACTGGGTCACAGAGTGATCAAAGCACTCTGTGATTTTCAGTCAAGATGACACAGAAAGAAGGCGCAAGAACTGGAGACCCCAATATATAGGATTGAAACCGTCAACCAAATATCTTTATTGATCTGCTGGGACTGGAGAGAACTTTCATTCCAAAGTGAATATAGTGATATTAGACCTGGTTTGGGCAGTCTCTGAATATAAATGCCAGACTTCTGTTTCTCTATTAGATGGACTTTTTTTTTTTTTTTTTTTTTTAAGACAGGATCTCACTCTGTTGCCAAGGCTGGAGTGAAATGACGTGATCACAGCTCACTGCAGCCTCGACCTCCCGGGCTCAAGGCATCCTCACACCTCAGCTTCCTGAGTAGCTGGAAAAACAGGCATGTGCCACCACTCCTGGCTAACTTTTGTATTTTTGGTAAAGATGGGGTTTCACCATGTTGCCCAGGCTGGTTTCAAACTCCTAGGCTCAAGCAATCTGCCAGGTTCGGCCTCCCAAAGTGCTGGGATTATAGGTATAAGCCACTGCACCTGGACAGATTTCTTCTTCTTTAGCATATCATCCTTCCAATCAAACCTGTTAACAAAACATTTTTTGGTTAAATTTAGGGCTTCACTTGTATTGAAATGCCTATCATTTACTTTGTTATTTAAAAAAAAATTAATGAAGGTGATTCTCACATTTTTTCTATCAATAACCAGGTTTTGGAATTTACAAATTGAGATCCTGTTTATATTCAGATTAGAATTTAGAGCTAAACAGAAATAAAGTTTTAGGAATCATTACTGTGAATATGGATCAAAAATGTTACGTAATAAATTCCATTTGTTTTCCAGTAAAATGTGGTTTTTAAAGCAGAAAAAATCCAACTGTGAATAGGACAGTAAGATCTCTATAAGATTTGCAGTATCTTTGATTAAACACCTCCAGTTGGTTTAGTTTTCTACCAATATCAGCTACTCTAGAAAATTTAGGTTTCAAATCCATTGTGAGAGTCGTAGTCCAGCGATCCAGAGGTGCTAGCTTCATATGGAAAGCAAGAATCCACTGGCTTCCTTCTCTCCCCTGTCACTTTGTTATGTGGGTACTTAACACTTGAAAGAATCTCTCCCAGCCCTGTCCAATGATAGCCTGTTTTATCCTACAGAACAGTTTTATGTAGACAAAATCTTCTTTTCAATAGAGCTGGCAGACTTTTCCCAGTTGTTTTTTTCCAGAACCTTATCACTCTGTCTCAATTCTAGGGAAAGGAAAAGACCTTGAACGTGACTGAGAGAATTCCATTAAATCAGGTATAGTATATGGTCTCAGCCCAGAATTCATGGGACTCTCACACATAAATTTAAAAAGAAAGATCCCATGTATGCTTCGGAGTATCACTCTAATTTTTAATGAGGCTAGTAGTAAAGCTCTAGGCCATTTTGACATACTAGGTGGTTGACTCTTGGCCAATTAATTTGTTTATTTTGTTTTTTAGTTTGATTCATTTGCTCTATTTGTCCAAAGGACTATCATAGGAATCTGCAAACATCTGCATAATAGTTATAATAGAAATGAAATGACTTCCGTTGTCTTATTCAATGTGCTCTGGTATCCTAAAAGCAGGAATTACATGTATTAAGAGAAGCTATCACTGTCTGATTATTGGCTTATAAAGAGGGAAAGACTTCAAGCCATCCAGGCATCATGCAACCAGAACTTAATACAATCTCTAACTTTTTGCAAGGATTAGTTTTATGACTAACACCTGATTACCAGTAAAGTTGGTCAGGAAAAACTTTCTGGATTTATTTTGGGAATAACTTATAAGAATTCTGCAAACACATAACACATTTCTTAAATGTTTTGAATAATTTTGTCTTTTTGTCAGGCTTAGTAACAGTCTACTGCCTTCAAAATTCTCCTATAGTCAGATAATGTTGTTGACGACACAACAATACTAACGAAGCAAATAGGAACTGTGGTGTAGAAATTATTTTGTTTAGTAAATTCCATAGTCCAGTTAAATTTCTTTTAGCTTCTTTTATCATCCATTTGTCCATTTTCGTTTGTATAAAATATTTTTGAAAATGAATAAATGTTCCTTACTTTATTAAAAGGTGAATTTCTAAGCTTGGGATTTGCCAAGTTTATCAGCTTCTGCAGTTCTATAGCAAAATTATTGCCATTAGGTATTTCATCCTGTAGTACGTGAGCTGTATAATGAACTACTGATATCCAAGCAGGCAGTTGTAAAGCCTCTAACAACCTACCAATTTCCAATTTTCCAAGAGATACTCTGGTTGTCTTTGAAATAAAAAGAAATCCCCTCTTAAAAAAATTCCTCTCTTGCATGTCGTTGACATAAACCATATATTACTAGAATATATATTTACTTTAAGTCCAGTCTTAAAAAATTACTTTTTTACTAACTGCTATTAACTCATCTGCTTGTGCAGACTTAATTCTAAACAAAACATAAGGTTTTCAGGTTTTATAAGTCACAACTAGGAAGCTTTTATCTGGGCCATGTTATTTTTCCTGGGGGTATTATCAATAACTTATCAAATATGCAATATGAATATGAATATCAAATAAATTAGATTGGGATTTTCCAAATTTGTAACCTTTAAACCTGGTGGAGAGGCTATAGCCTATTTCAATTGTTCAAAAGCCTCTTCAAATTCTAAAGACCAAACCAGAGGATCTGGAGAATTATCAGTCAGTTGCTCCATAGGAGATGTTACCACTCTGCAAAAGTTAAAATTTACTGTCTATAATATCACACAAGTCCCATAAAGTGCTTAAGTTTTTTGTTTGTTTGTTTTTGTAGCAGGACATTTTATCTGCAAAATGAGCTGATTCTTGGACCTAACACACTAAGGCCTCTAGCTGATAACTCATTTCTCAACTACTTTACTTCAGTTTTGTAATATTGTGACTTGTCTAGTGGGGTTTTGTACACCTTTGAAGCAAAGAATTGTAACAAAGCCAGAGTGATCAATTTTGTATTACTCTCTAGTTTCTGAGGCTACTAAGAATCATCCACATATTGAATAATTATAGATCCTCCTGGTGCGGAAGATTTTTTTATTTTATTGTATTTTATATTTTGTGAATGACTAGAGAAAATAGTAGAAGAATCCTCAAACACTTCCAGTTTTTTTTTTCTGTAAATACTGAACTCTTTCATAAGCAAATGCAAACAAGAGTTTAGAGTCACCCATTAGAGGAATAAAAAGAAAGAAAGGAAGGAAGGAACCAAGGGGGGAAAGAAGGAAGGGCAATAAATTGCAGAACACATCTATTACAGAGAAATACTTTGCAGACAATGGTAACAAAGTCGTAAGTCAGAATAGTTGAAGGGTTAGGAATTAAAAAGATTGGTGGATAAAATCTTGTCCAAATGTATGCATTGGTCAACCATGTTCATTAAATTAACCTTTCTTCCTTATTAGAAGTATGGAGGTAATACAGGGCGAGTGCTTCTTCTCTTTTTTTTTTTTTTTTTTTTTTTTTGAGATGGAATCTCGCTCTATTGCCCAGGCTGGAGTGCAGTGACGCGATCTCGGCAAGCTCCGCCTCCTGGGTTCACACCATTCTCCTGCCTCAGCCTCCCGAGTAGCTGGGACTACAGGCGCAAGCCACCACGCCCAGCTAATTTTTTGTATTTTTAGTAAAGACGGGGTTTCACCGTGTTAGCCAGGATGGTCTCGATCTCCTGACCTTGTGATCCACCTGCCTCGGCCTCCCAAAGTGCTGGGATTACAGGTGTGAGCCACCACGCCCAGCCACTTCTTTTAAATATCATTCGTTGTTTAATTTTTTATAACCGGTTTCATTATTTTTTAATTAAGCTCTTGACAAAGAATACTGTTTTACACGTAGGCATAGCTTATACTTTTGCTGAACTATTTTTTATTGGTTCTATATTTCGAATAATAGCAGTATCACTATTTCCTAGGGCCCAAGGTCATGCAATGATTTGTCTTAGATCAGGATCTATGCTTTTCTAGCATAGTGTCAGACTGCTGTTCTCTGCCATACCCCTTTCAGAAGACACCTTGCAACCAAATCTGGGGTATTTTCCCCACGGAGTTTCTTCCATAGACAATCCATCGGGAGTAAAGAATACGACAGCCTTTATGTTGCACAAGTCTCTCTCCAATACATTTACTGGAGAATCAAGAGAAAGTAAAAACACATTTCCTTAATAAGAGAACCTATCTATATGAGAACTAGGGAGGGAAAAGTGGAAAGCTGACCCAAAATGCCAGCCATCTGTGTTGATCTATTACCACCAAATAGAAAATGAGAAATATCCAAGGAAATTACAGAATATCTGTCTATCTATCTATCTATCTATCTATCTATCTATCTATCTATCTGAAAAGACAAAGTTAGATTATCTTGAGGGGAAGTATTGACATATGTAGTTTACCAGTTCCTACCTCCAATATTTTTCCAATTTTGAGCCATATGCCAAGTATTCCCTACTTTAGACTCTTGTCTCTGCAATTCCTACCACCTTTTCTTTAACTTGGGTTTAGATAGCACTAATGTAGATAAGGAAAAATGAGATAAAGGTTGCTAAGACTAGAGCATTATTTTGATCTGCCTTTGGGTTCATACCAGTGAATTTTGAGAAAATCTCAACAAACTGCTTATGGAAGTCAATGAAGGACTCACCCGTCTTCTAGGTATATGGTTGCAATCTCTCCCAGCTCATCTTTGCCAGGAGGGGTTTAAGTATGGCCTCTGGCCACTGCTCTTGAAGCATCTCTAACACCCTTAGTTCTTCCATAGTTGCGGGGATAGTGGATAGCTGGTTTTCCTTGGCCACCAGATTCCTTGATGTAGTGATCTGCTGGACCCCATCACATTAGCTTGCTGGGATCTGAATGGAAAGGGCTGGGTTTCCTCAAATTGAAAAAAAAAAAAAAAGGTAAAATGCATGGCACTTTGGTTTCCCTTCCTGTTATGACATTCATCAGTTTAACACCTAGTTAGCTTGTCTTTTTCTTTTTTTATTTTATTTTATTTTATTATTATTATACTTTAAGTTTTAGGGTACATGTGCACAATGTGCAGGTTAGTTACATATGTATACATGTGCCATGCTGGTGTGCTGCACCCATTAACTCGTCATTTAGCATTAGGTATATCTCCTAAAGCTATCCCTCCCCCCTCCCCCCACCCCACAACAGTCCCCAGAGTGTGATGTTCCCCTTCCTGTGTCCATGTGTTCGCATTGTTCAATTCCCACCTATGAGTGAGAATATGCGGTGTTTGGTTTTTTGTTCTTGTGATAGTTTACTGAGAATGATGATTTCCAATTTCATCCATGTCCCTACAAAGGACATGAACTCATCATTTTTTATGGCTGCATAGTATTCCATGGTGTATATGTACCACATTTTCTTAGCTTGTCTTTTTCTAAGTGAGCAGTGCAGCTACTCTCCATCTTGTTTTTTTCATACAATGTCACAATCTCTGTGCAAGTTCTTCATTATTCCTTCCTTAGGTCTCTTTATCATATGTGCTTTGTAGCTACAAGATGTGCAGATATTAAGGGGCTCCTGGAGAAGGATTCTGGCCTAAGACATGAAGTGGCTCAGGACTAGGCCACAAGGCACACAAAACCATGTCCTCAAGCACAGCAGGTAATTCATTTCAGTTAAAGAGGCTGTGCCCTCATCTCTCTTTACAGAGAAATCTACCAAAGAGGGGAACAATCCATCACCTCCCTCTTCCTGGGAGTTAGCTTGAGACACTGGCAGTGGCTAGAGTTGGAGGCAGTAGGGGTCAGGGGAGACAAGCAGGAGAAGCAGAGGGAGCAGGGACACCCCAAAAGAGGAGCAGGAGATTTCTGTAAAAGAGAAAGTGTCTTTAGTTCTCCAATTTCCTCTCCATTTTTTCTCAATCTTTTCTTCTGGGATTCTATATCATTTTTTTCCCCTTAGAATTCACTTCATCGCATAAATGCCAGTAATTCATTTGCTTGGGATATGGCCTGTCTAAGAATCTCAGTAAATATGTTAATTTATCCACATAAAAGTAACTGACTTTTGTGTGGCCACAGACCTTCAGCTGTCCCTTAGTTTAGGGTGTTTCAGACATCCTTGTCAGAATTGTTGGGGAAATGTAATTAAAACCAAAATTTCCTTCTGGGCACAGTGGCTCACACTTGTAATCCCAGCATTTTGGGAGGCATAGGTGGGTGGATCATGAGGTCAGGAGTTCAAGATCAGCCTGGCCAAGATGGTGAAACCCCATTTCTACTAAAAATATAAAAATTAGCCAGGTGCGGTGGCTGGCGCCTGTAATCCCAGCTACTTGGGAGGCTGAGGCAGGAGAATCGCTTGAAACCGGGAGGTGGAGGTCGAAGTGAGCCACGATCGCACCACTGCACTCTAGCCTGGGTGACAGAGCGAGACTCCATCTTAAAAAGAAAAGAAAAAAGGATAAAACACACACACACACAAAATTTCTTCTCAACCCAGAAAACCTCACCTTAAAGTTAGAAAAAAAGAAAACAATTTTATTATTAAATAAGCATTAATCCAGAATATACTGTGCATCCTGGCCAATTTCCTAATAGATTGCAAAGATATAAAGGATTTTCACCCTTTTATATAATGAAACAGATACAACCCATTATATACATGTTTTCCATATAAACAACACCTAGTACTTGCTGTAAGAAATGGGAGTGTAGAAAGTCTCTTCTGTTTTCAACAGGGAGAATTATTTCTGATTTTTAACTTGTATTTCCCCTTATATGTCACACCATAACTTCCATGCTTTTCTCTTTTTTGCCTTTTATTCTGATTGATTGAATTTACTCTCCTTGAAATTTATCATGCATCTATTAATATACAGTGACTGAATTAATACTTTAACTTCTTCCAGAATAAAGGAGCTAAAATACTTCCTCCTATTATACCCCTTGTGATATATGAGCATTTTAATAATTTTTATTTGAATATTTTAGCAACATAAATAAGACTGCATTATAGCTTGTATACATTCATTGTTTGGTAAAATTTGTACACATGGCAACTTTTATTTCTCAGATATTTATTTTAGTATCTTTTATCTTTTCCATATTACTGAAGTATATTCTTAAAATTCCTTTAGTGGGGATACTTATGTGGTTGTCTCTAATTTCGTTCATAAAAAGTATTTTTGTTTTTTTCTTTTTTAAAATTAGTTTTGCTGGGTTCCTGATTATTTATTGATAAGTATTATAGAATTTTGAGGATATGATTTTACTCTTTTTTATTTCAGTTGATGTTGTTCTATAGTCTGCTGTTGGTTCCTTGCATATGAGTTATCTTTTTCTCTGTCTAGAGTTAAGACAATTTTTTTTCCTAAAATCCCTCCTACATTTTGTTTACAAAATAACTCTAACTGGATTTATTTTTAATTATAAGGCTCTGAGTACAATGTGTTCTCTTTATCTGTTGATTCATGCCTACCATCACGTTGTAAGCAAAGGTGTGACTGTTATACTGTCCATTTAACTGAACTTTTAATAGTATGAAATGCCTCCTTTATCTCTATGGCAGAGTCTACTGTGCCTGATACTATTACAGCCACACAAAGTTTCTTTTGGTTGATGTTTGTGTGATGTCATAGATGGAATTTTGCTACCCTCCGTAATACCACAATGACCTTCACCCCATAGTGTCTAGTATAGAGCTATGTTACATTGAATGGCAAAAGTGACTTTGTAGAGGTAAGTTGTTTAAAAATTTGCTTTATATACAGATAAGGAAGATGTGCTGAAAAGATACAACTACATGGCACTGTAGACTTATTTATTCTGTCTTCTGGGAATATAGCAGACAGTTGGCTTAGCAACTCTGAGTGGTGGGCTCAACAGAAGAACAAGCTGATAGAAGTCCTTGGGCTCTGAGGCTCCATTCTAATCAAAGTACTTCTCCAACCAGAGGACTTCCATTGATCAATAGCCACTCAGATGTTCTGTGTTTGCCATGAGTATCGGACTTCAGTCTTCTGGAAAGATGGCTGTGGTGCCTAAACACATCTGTGCCTGGCCTCACCCGCGGGTTAGTAAAGATTTGGGGGTTGCATGTGTTCTTCTATTTGGGACGAGGCCTATCTAAGAGGCCTCTATCTCCTCTCAAACATCTTTTTTATGTCTGTGCTATGTAACATTTCTGATAAGTGTCTGTGACTCCTCTGCCTCACAGCTATTCACTTTCTCTCTTTATAAAGAGGAGCCCTAATTATATTGTTTGGCTTTCTTTACACTTACGTTAAAGATTTTGTTTGAACAGAGGATTCTCTGGTTTTAAGATATTGAAAAAAAAAAGAACAGTTTATTAGACAAGCAAGACCAAATACAGTGGCTCATTTCTGTAATCCCAGAACTTTGGGAGGCCAAGATAATAGGATTGCTTGAGGCCAGGAGTGGAAGACCAGTCTGGGCCACAAAGCAAGATCCCTGTTTCTACTAAAAATTTAAAAATTAACCAGGCATGGTGGTGGCATGTGCCTGTAGCTACTCGGAGGAATCTCTTGGACCCAGGAGTTTGAGGCTGTAGTGAGCTGTGATCACGCCACTGCACTCCAGCCTGGGTGAAAGAGGAAGAGCCTTTCTCTTATTAAAAAAAAAAAAAAAAAGAAAGAAAGAAAGAAAGAAAAGAAAAGAAGGAAGGGAAGGAAGGGAGGGGAAGGGGAAGGGGAAGGAGAAAGGGAAGTGGAAGGAAAGGAAAGGAAAAAGACACCTGTTTGGTTTGGGGGAGAATGAGTTAGAAAACAAAATTTTAAAAAAGTAAAATAATGACACTACCACCATCTCCACCAAAAACACTAAAAAAGGTTGTGGGAAAATGGATGCAATAGTCCTTTAAAATAAATACATCAAAAGTAGTGACCTCAGGCTACATATTATTATATCATCTTTAATAAAATTTGAGGAAAATATTAAGCACTATTTAAGTGTTTGTAAAATAAAAATTAATAAGTGCATGAGATACCCTAAAGCTTTCGGACCTTTGACCTTCGAAAAGTTTACTCTCATCACTGTCCACTCATCAATTTAATTGTTTGTAATTTTAGTTTCACATTGTTTTTAGTTGCCAGAAAAATGGCAATACTTGTTTAAGTTATTGACCAATAGAATCCATGATATTTTAATATATCAACACATTTATCAAATTCTTTTTTTGACATTGCTTCTTATATCCTCATTTTTGCTTGTGGGTTCATTGATTATTTTTTCCTGAACTATGTCTTTTAAGTATTATTTGAACCATAATCTATGATTATATTAGTCTCCTGAAAGTATTATTGATTCACTTACGCCGTTCAGCTAGAGAGTACAGCTGGGTATACAAGTAAGTAGACAGCTACTTTTTCTCAGTACTTTAAAAATAAATGTTCACGCTTTATGGTCTCTAGTGGGATTTCACTAATTTGTACATATTTTATTTGCTTTTTAAGCTTTACATTCAAGATGTTTTAATTGTAATGATTCATTTCAATTTTATTGTTTTTCAACATTTCTGATTTTTTAAATTACCCTATTTTTCATTGTACTTTATCTCCCTTCTTTTTATTATTATAGTAATTTAAGCCACACTTATTTATTTCAGTTTTTGTTTGTTTGTTTGTTTGTTTTGAGATGGCGCCTTGCTCTGGCACCCAGGCTAGAGTGCAGTGGTACAATCATAGTCACTGCAGCCTGGAGCTCCTGGGCTCAAGCAATCCTCTAGCCTCAGCCTCCCGGTGTATGCCACCACACCCAGCTAATTTCTTTATTTCCTTTATTTTTGAGTGAAGGGGCCTCACTGTGTTGCCCAGGCTGGTCTCAAACTCCTGGGCTCAAGTGTTTCTCTGGCCTCATTCTCCCAAAGTGCTGGGATTACAAGTGTGAGCCATTGTGCCTGGCCCAGATTTTCTTTTACCTCAATTTTGTTTTAGCTCTCTCATGTTGTATGTGTGTGTGTGTGTGTGTGTGTGTGTGTTTTCCATTGTATGAAATAAAATTTTATTCGGAAGCTCCTCTTTTGCACAGTTGCTTTCATCTCCCTCCATATGTTTCTACACAAGTGGGGAAAATATAGCTACAGAGTAATTTTTTTTTCATTGACTTCTGAGAGTGTTGGTTATCTCCAGTACAATTCATAAGCCAATTTTCTTCATCTAGGTCTCTTGACTCATCAGAAATATAAATTGAGATTCCATACCCATGAAGCCATTTTTTCACTGAAGGCATTTTTTTAAAATACATGAATTTCTGAATTATAAAGAGTTTTCCTGACACTTCCTAAGTCAGTAGGTCCTATAATATTCCTTTACAAAGGAGAAGCCAACCTTTTTTGTAAATGTCTACATTTTTTGTGAATGTCAGCCTTTTAAAAGTACTTTAGCAAAGGGTCTTTAGTTCTAACACCCTCCCTTACATAAGCCTAATTCCACCTTTCCTGTCTTCTAATGGGTATTATCTTCTAGTTCCTATTGTTATTATTTGATCCTTATGAGCACCATATAATTAGTTGATATATTTACCACTAACTTACATCTCTCTTCATTTATGGAAGTTGGAGGCATCCTTTTCTTTTTTATATTAATTCATTTGTGGGTTAGACATCTTTACCTTTAGTCTATGATTTCAATATATTTGTATTTAGAGTGAGGGTTGTAGGAGGAAAAAAATGGGAGGAACATCTGTAACATCTCAGTAGGTCCTGGGATAGGAAAGAATCTGTAAGTAATTTTCTGTATAATGTATGGTGAAGCTTTTAGAATCCCTGTGAAGAAGACAGAAAGACCAAGAAAAGTACCACTCAGTTTTGCAAAGGAAAACCAGGGATAATAATTAGAACGAGAAGGGGATGAGGAACTATGATGTGTAGGAGCTAAAGAACTTGTGTAATAATAAAATGTTAAATCTGTTTTGGTAGTGTTCTGTTTTTCTATACTATGTATGTATTTCCTCAGAAAATATTTCTTTCTTAGAATGGATTTAGGCTGTGTTATGCCTGTGAAGTCATATTTATTCTTCTGTAAAGGTGAGTGCTTTGTGTTATATTGTATTGTTTTTGAGCAATTGCAGAAGACTACAGAAACTCTGTTCAGGTCTTTTCGCTACCAGAATCAAGAGGAAAGATTGATGAAAGTATCTGGAGTGGACTTAATAAGGATTGTCTTGACTGAGCAGATATTGGTATTATATAAGCTCTTGAGAAACAGGAAATATTTCTGGAGCTTCTCGCTCTTTAACTTGGAAAGAGTTTCAAATAGAAACTATCAATTTACATTTTGTTTGATTGGTTGAGTTTTTTGTTTTGGTTTTGGTTCTGATTGTGAATAATCTCTTTCCTTGGATTTTTAAAACTACATGATAAATTTGGTTAATATAGAAATAAATATTCATTCTGTCAAATATTTTTGGGACAAGAAATATGACCTGGGAAGTTGGATAGTATTTGAGGGTGAGAAGGAAATTTATTTTCTTCCTGCTTCCTTATTCACCCTGAACTACAGTCTGAGCAGATCATGTGTGCTTTAGGGTACCCAAAGGTGAAACTGAATTTTGACACTGAAAGAGTGACAGGACACAAGAAACCCCTTAGATTGTTAGAAAGACGTCTAAGAAGGTCTCACTACTAAATAGTCCACAGAACATTAGTAAACCAGAAGCAGCATCACCTGGGAGATCATACCCTACCTCAGACCACAAAATCTTCATTTTTCATAAGATTCTACAATGATTTATAATGAACATTTAGGCTTGAGAACCCTGCTGTAAAAACCCAAACATGATGTGTCAGAGTTGTAGATGTTAATTTCTGTCAAATCCGTTTGCTAATCTTAACTATTTGCATAATCCATTTAATAATATCCTTTTATTATCTTAGAATCTTTAGGAGAGTGCTATTAAATTATCTTGGCCTAGTCTCATAAGGACAGAAGAAAATTAAGCTATGCATGTTCAACTGCTTTGGGTCAGAGTGACAAAACTGAGATAAATGTTATTAGAAACCACTATGGTAAGAAACAGGAGCTTTAATAGTCGGTGTTAACTGCCAAAACTGCAGGAGTTAATGAGATGCTGCATGGTCAGGACCCATAGCTATATAGAATAGAAAGCATCTTAAGATCAAAGGTAGTTGCACAGACAGAGATCTGCATTGACTTGATACTGTGCTGTATTAATCTTGATATCTTTGTTCCTTGCACACTGCCATAGTGCCTGTTGTTGGGACTGGATAAATGTTTGTTGAATTAAGCTGAAATATGGTGACTAAAAGCTCTTGACATGATATATTATTTCATATTTTATTCATTTTATTCTTTAGTGGAATTATATTAAATCTACATGTCTGAGTCTTTTACAAATTGATTTTTATTCAACTCTCTGAAGGTTTACACAATAAGCCTATGTTCTTATAATAAAGCAGCCCTAAAATATTACATTATTTATTATGATAGAACAAGCTCAATTGTCCAACATCTTATTTCTTCTACATGTTAACTCCACTTACGTGTTTAAAATATCTAACCACTAGGTGTCGTTTATCCGGATGCTGCATGATTAAGACCACCATACTCTTATCAAGCATACAGGTGTTAATGTCTATTTTAAAGAGGAGAGAACTCAAGAAGTTCTGTAGAAACTGCTTTCTTCATCATATCTCAAAGGATTTGCTGAGGATTTCAGAGGTGCCACGAGTTGAGAGAAGTGAGCCAAAAAAACTCATCTGAAGTGTTTGGACAGATGAAATCAATGGCTGCTGATTAAATGAGAGGCACACAGCAAGTACACTGTAAAATAATTAAATAGTAATTGAAAATACCTGCAGAAAGTTTGATTAGCATCTGAGGAACTAACAAAAGTAGCCAGATAATAACAAATGCATTTCCAAAGCCTGTTTAATTCTATCAATGTACCTTAGTAAATATGTAGTTAGTCTCATTAAACGAATTAATGTAAATGCATTAAACTTTTCACAGTAAAAGTAGTGTTTTGGAAAACCTTGGGTGTACCCGAAGTTATTTTCCTTGGGGTTCCATAGGAATGGGTTTAACCTATATTTTGGAAATGTTTTAATTACTGTATTCGACTCATTATGTCATATTTTGCAAAACTGATAAAGTTAAAATGACATTTTTATTACATGAATTCAAATTATAGACATAGAGATGTTTCAGGTAGCCAGGTTCTATAAAGAATATTCCAAAATATTGTCTTGAAGCCCAGTGTAATTGAAAATTATATCATTGAACTCTGTCAAAATAAAGGCACCAATCTGTATAAAATACAAAGTTAAGTATATAACTATGTATAAAAAAGAGTAAAAATGTTCTAGGCATGATATAAGAAAGTCAAAGATTTAAGAAGTAGCAGAGAATTTCAAATATAGTTGGACAAAGGCAGCAATCAGCTAATGATGGCACTTTTACATGCTCAGACAATGAGAATATTATTAAGACCTCAAATCCCAAAATAAACAAATTGTTTCCCACTTAATGAAATTACAGCCTGTGATATGGATTTTCAAGGATATGAGCAAGAAGACAGAACAAAATGAGCCAAGATCAAGATATATGTATCAGAGACCCGGGGAGAAAGGATGAAAATTACAATCTCAAGAAACAACATAAACATGACGAGTTAATGGGTGCAGCACACCAGCATGGCACATGTATACATATGTAACTAACCTGCACATTGTGCACATGTACCCTAAAACTTCAAGTATAATTAAAAAAAGAACATAAATAAAGCATAGCAACTATAATATAGAAGTTTCAGGTAGACAGTCTTAATCGATGATCATTTTAGGTAGACAGAAAGACCTGGAACTCTACTAGCAAGGACTCAATGGGATGAAAAAAGGAGGGCGCTTAAAGAGGCAGACATGAAGATTAAGGTCCACACATGAATTGGGATTGGGACTGGGGGATTAGTAGTCAGGATATCAGAATTTGGGCAACCATACATGGAGGTCAAAATTTGGGTTCTAAATATAAGTGGAACTGATTTAGTTGTTAGGTACGCTTTTGAAAACTGGCCATCTTTTCAGACATCTTCTGAAGAATGTACTGTCAAGCTTGGTGTGTTCTATGAAGCTCTGGAGTCAATTTTGGCTTGGTCATCTTTATCCGTGTGTCCCTGGGAATGTTACTTAATTTCTCTGTGTGTGTGTGGTTTTTTTGTTTGTTTGTTTTTATGTTTTTGTGGTTTTTTTTTTTTTTTTTTTTTTGGTTTTTGGTACACCTCCAAAGTCAGAAAAATAATGTCTCACTCAAAATTATCTCAAAAGGGTTACATGTGATAATATAGTACCTTGTGAATGTTATCATTATTATGATGCTTTAAAGTGTTTAATGTAAAACACTGGCAAACGCTCTTTATGAAGAAAATTCTGGCATCAATTTCCCCAGAGAAAAAGCCTACTTAGAAAAATGTAAGATAAGCATAGGGAATGAGGGGAAGTGATACCAAGTAGTGATGTTTAGGATGGCTTTCTTCTGAGTCAAATAAAACCATCATAGAATGATCAGAATGATGTGATGGAAGCAAAAACCAATAGGAACAGCCTAATTCTTACTAGAGTAATAGAGTAAGCAAATTATTTAAAGTTTTCTTATGTGAGAAATTGTGAAGATTCCAGCCTGTAAAGTAATAGTATAAGCAAAAGCAAAAAAAGAGGAGAACTATTAATAAACCAGTAAACCAGGCTCAATGTAGTATATGGTAATGGAGATCCTAAAGGTCATGTTGGCTCCATGTGAAAATAGGAGTTAAGAAAAACTTGGTAGTGGAAATTTAGGAAGATATAACACAACACAAAAATTCTTTCACAAGGAAAGAATATTGACACGTCCATATTAAAATTTCTGGCTTATTAAGCACTATCAATCTTAGTTAAGAACATGAATTTCCTCTGTTAAAATTTGATTCCTTTTATGCAGCCTCCATGGAGACATATCCTTTTCTTTTTAATGCAGAGAGAAGTTCTTTTATTTTATCAATCTACTTTTTGATTCCTTCATGATTTATTTGTAGTAATGCATAGATTCCATAATGATGTAACTATAAGTATTGCTTGATTTACTCACCTAGGTTAACTTATTGTCTTATTTATTTAAGCTACAAATATTTCTAGGGTAGAAAAAAGCCTGTAAGAAACGAGTCTAGCAGGAAGAGTGTTCATTATTACCTAATTTACGACAAAATTAATTGTTAATGCTGATCAAAATATCTCTTGTCTTCACAGAAAACATTGGAAGTAAAAAACGTATATAAAATATGTGTTTCCAGCTAGTCGTATTACAATGTTCTTTTGAACCCTTGTAATGAAGACTTATGGGATCAAATTTTCTGTGTTTAACCTCCAATGCCAACATATAGTAGCTATGTGACCTTAAATACTCTATTTATGGCTCTGTTTCCCAATATGTAAATTTGGTATCTACTTCAAATGATTATTATGAGGATTAAATGACATATGTGAACAGATTCAAAGAGTCCATGGCACAAAATAAGTACACAACAAATGTTGAATATCATTATGATTTTAGTAATCAAAATGACAATTTTTATTTCCTTGAGACAAGGTGTGGCTCTATTGCCCAGGCTAGAGTGCAGTGGCCTGATCTCTGCTCATTGCAACCTCTGTCTCCCTGGCTCTCGCCATTCTTTCACCTCAGCCTCCAGAGTAGCTGGAACCACAAGTGCACACCACAACACCTAGCTGATTTTTGTGTTTTTTGTAGAGACAGGGTTTCGCCATGGTGCCCAGGCCGGTCTCAAACTCGTGAGCTCAAGCAGTCTTCCTTCCTTGGCCTCCCAAAGTGCTGAGATTACAGGCGTGAGTGACCACACCCAGACTAAAATTGTTTTTTGAATGGCATTAAATATTTTTCAAAATTAGCTCATCGCATTGTAATATAATTTGAAGAGCCATAGCATATTGAATCTTAACTCAATTTCGTGGCTTACTAAGATTCCCCTAAATTTTATTTAAAGCATTATACCTTATCATTGTTGGTGCCATATTACTGAGTAGCTATAAAATGCTTCTCATTTTCATATTCCACATTCCTCCATTTACAAATAATGAAAGATCATTTCACATTTGAAGCAAAAGCAAAACAAAGCAAAATTTAGATCATGTTTAGTAATTTATCTCAGTTAAAAATTGCTGTGACTGTGCAGCTAGAGCCTCTCAATATTTTCAATGCTCTAGAACTCCAGTTAGGCAATTTAAAATGAACAACAGTAGCTAGAAATACAATTAAGCAAAACTGTTCTGCTTATAGTCAGTTACAATCTCTCTTTCTTTCTTTCTCTCTGTTATACACAAAGACATTTCATGCGTATCTTTTTCTTCCCACTTCTAAATATCATCAGGGGAAATAAGTACTGAAATAATTAAGCATTTTTGTCGAGTGATCTTTTAATTCATTATTTTCTTCCCAGAACTCTAGTTTGTTGGCATATATAGAGCTGTTCATTGACTAATGAATTATTTCCCCCAGGTATCTGTGTGTGTTCACGTATAAGTGGCAGTACATACCATTTTTCCCTTCTTTTTGTACATCACTTTGAATATTTTGTGAACTGTATAGTGTGAAGTACAAAAGAAAAATCAATTAGCATATGTAGCAATATTCCTTAAGTGCCACATTACAGTTAAACTTCATTAAATTCTGACAAGGCTATAAATTTAATTATATTTAAAGGTAAATTTCTCTCTATGTATTAAAAGGGGAATACATAACACAAGTGGTTTTTATTGTTCTCATTGCTATTTTGGTTTTTTTCTAATTAATAAGCTTTAGTTTTTTAGAGAATTTTTAGGTTCACAGCAAAATTAAATGGAAAGAACAAAGTTCCTATAGACCCCCTGTCACCCACACATGTGCAACCTTTCCCACTATTGACATCCTGCACCACAGTCATGCATTTGTCACAATGGATGAACCTACAATGTCACCTCATTATCACCCAGAGTCCATAGTTTACATAAGGGTTTGGTTTTGGTGTTGTACATCCTATGGGTTTTGACAAATTTTTAATAACATCTATCTACCAGTGGAGTGTTTTTGTTTTGATTCATGGAAAATAACTTTCAGGCTGGCATGGGGGCTCATGCCTGTAATCCCAGCACTGTGGGAGGCCAAGACGAGCTGATCACTTGAGTTCAGGAGTTAGAGACCAGCCTCGGCAACATAGCAAAACCCCATCTCCACCAAAAATACAAAAAATTAGTCTGATATGGTGGCACAAGCCTGTAGTCCCAGGTACTTGGGAGGCTGAGGTGAGTCTGGGAGGTGGAGGCTGCAGTAAGCCCAGATCGTGCCACTGCACTCTGGCCTGGGTGACAGAGACCCTGTCTCAATAATAAAGAAAAAAAAAACAGAACTTTCAAAGTTTACACCTATATATTTTTCCATACCCTCAGGACTTCGGACATTTCACTTAATGCTGAAAATTCACTCTACTGCCACTACTCAGGACTTCTGATGGGCATGAAAATCCAAGCCTGCTTTATGATATTAACCTCTGAATTTCATAAACCGCTTAAAACTTTAGAATGTCCAGGTAATTAATTATTATCAGGTAAAAATGTCACAATTTAGTGTCTTTAAGCAATGCTGATTTATCATTTCCAAGATTCCGTGAGCTGGACAGGTGGGTCTTCTGTTGACTTATCTTGAGTTCATTCATTGGCTGAATTAGGCTGCAGAGTTGTCTGGACTGGAAGGTCAAAAATGACCTTGCTTGCCAGGGGCAGTGGCATATGCTTCTAATCTAATCTACTTGGGAGGCTGAAGCAGAGGATTCCTTGAGCCCAGGAGTTCAAGACCAGCCTGGGCAACATAGGACCCCCTCAAAATAAAATAAAATAAAGAAAGAAAAGTTACATTAAAAAAAATGACCTCACTCAAAAATCTGGCAGTGTACCTGGCTGTCATCTAGGACCACTCAGTTATCTTCCACATGGCCATTCATACTTCATTAGGCTCCATCAGTTCCCTTACACAGCATTCTGACTGTCGCATCCAAAAGAGCAAAGGCAAAAACTGAAAGATGTCTTGAGACTTAAGGTCTAGAACTCTCACAACATCACTTCTGCTAGATTCTATTAGTTATGAAAAGTGTTTGGACCAGTCAAATTTAAGAGGTCGGGAAACAGACTTCTAAAGTTAATGAAAAGAACTGCAAAGTACTTGTGGCCATTTAAATCTACCTCTATGCCTTGCTCTTGAAGTTAAAATGTCTTTAGAATGATCTTAGGGAATAATTTTGTGAAAAAAGGGCCAAAATTTTTAATGAATTTGTTTAGAAGAAATCACACATTGTCAAGTCTGTAAACCTCTTGCTGATTGTAAACATTTTTTTTTTTTTTTTTTGAGACAGAGTCTCTGTCACCCAGGCTGGTGTGCAGTGGCACAATCTCATTTCACTACAACCTCTGCCTCCCAGGTTCAAGTGATTCTCCTACCTCAGCCTCCCGAGTAGCTGGGATTACAGGAATGCACCACCACACCCAGCTAATTTTTGTATTTTTAGTAGAGACAGGGTTTTGCCATGTTGGCCAGGCTGGTCTTGAATTCCTGACCTAAGGTGATCCGAACTCCTTAGCCTCCCAAAGCACTGGGATTACAGGCGTGAGCCACCAGGACCAGCTTGTAAACTACTTATTCCATGATTCCTGCCTTCTTCACATTTCTATTCCTTCTGTTTAATATAGTTTTTGAGACAGAGTACGCTTTGAAAAGCACACTTTCAAATAACTGATGTTTTATAAATAACTGATTGAAACATTTATTTAAAATTATTTTTTTAAAAGTCATACAACCTCTAAATACAAAGTGTTGAAGCTTATCTACTCTTCTCAGGCCATAGAAACTCCAATAGTCTTACAGTTCTAGTTAAACCCCAAAAATTAGTAAGTAAAAGTAGCAACTGAATTCAAAAGGATTTCATAAATTCAATAAAATATATTTTAGATGTTTAATGAGTTACTTCAAATAAGAAGCTTTCAATTTAGTTGTCTTTCTCAGGTGGACAAAAATGATTGTCTACATTGGGGAACATCACAGAAGATGATATTTGAAATAAAACGTTCAGCACCCTCATTTAATGTTAAGATGTCACTACAAATGACTTAAAGTGTGTTATCAGTATGACCTAAAACCCTGCATCTTTTTGCAAAATTAATATTTATTCATATTGACTAGGCACGGTGGCTCATGCCTGTACTCCCAGCACTTTGGGAGGCTGAAGTGGGAGGATCACTTGAGGTCAGGAGTTCAAGACCAGCCTGACCAACATGGTGAAACCCTGTCTCTACCAAAAATACAAAAATTAGCCGAGTGTGGTGGTGGGCGCTTGTAATCCCAGCTACTCAAGAGGCTGAGGCAAGAGAATCACTTTAACCTGGGAGGCAGAGTTTGCAGTGAGCTGAGATGGCGCCACTGCACTCCACCCTGGAAGACAGAGTGAGATTCCATCTCAAAAAAAAAAAAAAAACCATATATATAATTCATATTAATATACACAATAGCAGATGATACTTTTTACTTTGTTTTTCTTAAATTATTAATGAATATGTTGGTAGTTACGTAGAGAAATTCCTAACTTTAAAGCTGTTAACAACTTTAAAAGTACAATTAATAAGAATGCAAGATCAGATAGTTGTAGATATGCGGCATTATTTCTGAGGGCTCTGTTCTGTTCCATTGGTCTATATCTCTGTTTTGGTACCAGTACCATGCAGTTTTGTTTACTGTAGCCTTGTAATACAGTTTGAAGTCAGGTAGCATGATGCCTCCAGCTTTGTTCTTTTGGCTTAGGATTGACTTGGCAATGCAGGCTTTTTTTTGGTTCCATATGAACTTTAAAGTAGTTTTATCCAATTCTGTGAAGAAAGTCATTGGTAACTTGATGGTGCTGGGAAAACTGGCTAGCCATATGTAGAAAGCTGAAACTGGATCCCTTCCTTACACCTTATACAAAAATTAATTCAAGATGGGTTAAAGACTTACATGTTAGACCTAAAACCATAAAAACCCTAGAAGAAAACCTAGGCAATACCATTCAGGTCATAGGCATGGGCAAGGACTTCATGTCTAAAACACCAAAAACAATGGCAACAAAAGCCAAAATTGACAAATGGGATCTAATTAAACTAAAGAGCTTCTGCACAGCAAAAGAAACCACCATCAGAGTGAACAGGCAACCTACAGAATGGGAGAAAATTTTTGCAACCTACTCATCTGACAAAGGGCTAATATCCAGAATCTACAGTGAACTCAAACAAATTTACAAGAAAAAAACAAATAACCCCATCAAAAAGTGGGCAAAGGATATGAACAGACACTTCTCAAAAGAAGATATTTATGCAGCCAAAAAACACATGAAAAAATGCTCATCATCACTGACCATCAGAGAAATGCAAATCAAAACCACAATGAGATACCATCTCACACCAGTTAGAATGGCGATCATTAAAAAGTCAGGAAACAACAGGTGCTGGAGAGGATGTGGAGAAATAGGAACACTTTTACACTGTTGGTGGGATGGTAAACTAGTTCAACCATTGTGGAAGTCAGTGTGGCAATTCCTCAGGGATCTAGAACTAGAAATACCATTTGAACCAGCCATCCTATTAATGGGTGTATAACCAAAGGACTATAAATCATGTTGCTATAAAGACACATGCACACGTATGTTTATTGTGGCACTATTCACAATAGCAAAGACTTGGAACCAACTCAAATGTCCAACAACGATAGACTGGATTAAGGAAATGTGGCACATATACACCATGGAATACTATGCAGCCATAAAAAATGATGAGTTCATGTCCTTTTTAGGGACATGGATGAAGCTGGAAACCATCATTCTCAGCAAACTATCGCAAGGACAAAAAACCAAACACTGCATGTTCTCACTCATAGGTGGGAATTGAACAATGAGAACACATGGACACAGGAAGGGGAACATCACACTCCGGGGACTGCTGTGGGGTGGAGGGAGGGGGGAGGGATAGAGTTAGGAGATATACCTAATGCTAAATGACGAGTTAATGGATGCAGCACACCAACATGGCGCGTGTATACATATGTAATAACCTGCACGTTGTGCACATGTACCCTAAAACTTAAAGTATAATAATAATAAAAAAAAAGAAAAAAAGAAAGACTGCAAGAGTGAGACTATGGTTTGGAATCTCAGCCAAACGTTTAAAGTTTGTATGATTTAGGGCAGTTCTATTACACTGTTAAATTCAGTCTGCTCATCTGGAAAACTGGAATGAGAATGGTTACCACAACATCAAGTAGGCTCAAGGAATAAACCAAGATAACTGATGTAAAGATCTAATTGGCATGACTGGAACATCAGTAATTGATACTTTATTTTTGTTGTTGTTAATGTTATATTTGTATTATTAACTCAATGTAGAGGCACTCGGTAAATTCTGTTATTCCTAAAGTGTTGACAAGATAAAGGAAACTCTAAAACAAAACATTTTAGAAGTATGTATTTTAGTTTTTTCTTTTATATCCTACCTGAAAGACAATTCAATAATTATAGTGCTAAGATAATTATGTAGATTAATCAGTAGTATTTGGCAGGCAGTGCATTTCTGAATGATAACAGCATGGCTCAGGTGGTCTTAAAGCATACCATGCTGAAGGCTATCAATTTTACCACCTGAGAAGTGTTCTAATTAACCAAAAATGCAGAACCTAAAGTGGCTGCTCCATTACTGCCAATGAGACTAACAGTTGGGTTCTTAGATTTATTAGCCTGCAAATTGGTGACTCTCAATTCCGAAGCACCAACTGTGCCTACTTTTTACAAATCTTTTTTTTTCCAATATTTATTTGAAATGTAAGGTCAGTTAATTATAAAAGAAAATATATTAAGTGGTAATAGAAATGCTCGGGCACCAGAATCAGACTTATCCTTCCTGAAAATCCACTGTATTTTTGCTTAGTGACCTTGGAAGAGTTAGTTAAAGCATGTTTCCCTACCTATAAATTGGATAAGGATAATTTCTTTATATATTGTAGTGACAATTAGTAAAGATACACTTAATGTGCCTAGAATAGTTTTTACACATGATTATCAAGAAATTTTTTCTACTTTGTTTCTCATCCTTTATGATATACAGAGGCATTTAGTCAAGTGAAGGGTCCCATGTTAGAGGACTGCATATGTTATTTCTATTTTATTAATTTAATTAGAGAATATGATTAGCCAATCTGCAACAGTACAGTGTTATTTCTTCTGTGTAAAGTATAACTATATTTTCAAATTCCCATTTTTCTCTCAACTGTATCAACAGGTTTATGGCATTCTATTGAGGGCTAAAGAATTTATAGTGTTTAGCAGACAGGCCCTTGACTTTCATAATGAAACTTATATTTTACTGAGCAGACAAGATGAACAAATATTTCAAACTTCATATTGCATCTAAAATGTTTACAGTGATACAGTGATACCTTTCCTTCATTGTTGTGTTCAATGATCCATACTATGAAACTATTTTATAGAAAAGTATGCTTTAAAATATTTCCAAGTCTGTAACTAAATCCTATCCTTTGAATGGAAAGTAATGTTCATCTATTTCTATGCTGTATTATTTGGAATAATGAATTCGGTTTTATGAAGTGATGCAAGTGTACTTGATGATCAGGAAAACCTGGAAATTATAGTATTGAGTATAATCTTCAGAGATAAGTAAAATGTGTGGACCTATGTTATGTACACGGTTACCACAGTTGTCATATAATACAATCAGGTTCTATAAAAAGACCAATAGCTCTATTGGAAAACAAAGTGTAATGTTCATTTGTTTTGATTTCATGATAGGTTTTTCATGTTGTTCTTGTTATTTTTAAAGTGAATCTGTTAAAACGCCACTCCCAAGATGGACTGGTATTGTAGAAATACAAAATGCATGCTTATTCTAGATTCCATTGTGTTATGTGATATAATTACTACTGGCTACATGTGGCCATTGGAGCACTAATATGTGGCTCGAGGGTGAGGAGTGCTGTTAGTTTAAAACACACATTCGATTTCAAATACTGAACATGAAAAAGAAGACTAAAATATCTCAAAAATAATTTTCTGTAGTGATTAATTATTGATCCTATATATTTTGGGTCAAGCAAATTAAGTTATTAAAATGGGTTTCACCTGTTTCTACTTACATTTTTAGAAAAATTAAATTTTCTCTACATTTCTAGAAAATTAAAATTACATATTTGCCTCATGTTACATTCCACTTGCAAATATATATATATATTCTTATTCCTTATTTGCAAAGTTTGCACTCTGTGCATATCCCACAGGGACTGAAGCCTGAGGTAGGTGGCTAGTGAAAAATCTGACATTGTAATTCTATGTTATTGTCTCACAATTTCTTTCCATTTTAGCAGTTTGATTTGTGACACCTATAGGATAGCAAATGAAAAACTAAATCTTTAAAGTCTGCAACATCTAGGGATAAAGCATACATTTTATGTATATAATCAATGCTACAGTTCACATGCAGTTGTCTGAATAGAATATTTAAATTACTATCAGAAATGACCTAAGGATGTCTTTCTTGACTGAGTGAATTATTGTAGCACATAAAAAGGACAAGCCTGACATCCATCCTGATGAACTGTATCAAACACTTGTAGATTAACACGTAAAATATCTAAACAGGCTCTGAGGAATGTACAGAAAACGAAAGAATGCTGAAATTCAGAAATCACCAATAAAATATACCCTAAAAAGGGAAGATCCTACTGAGTCAAATCATTGGAAGTGGATCGGACATAACTGCAAATCTGGGAGAAGACTCCAAAAGCATTGTCAGCATTGGAAATTGCTGTGGCACCAACCCTTTGTTTATGAAATTGACTTAAAAAATACAACCCCCCACACAAAACACATACACACACCCACACAGACCCACCCTCTGGACACACACACAAACACAAAACTAGACATTCATTCTGCCTTTTCAGTATGATATATATTCCAAGGTCACAATAAATTGAAAAGGGAAAGAATATAAAATTCCAATTTATAAATTCAGATGAAATGACAGAATAAGAATAATAACCATGGTTGGCTGTAAAAATAATCACAATTATCCAACATGTTCCTTTGTGATTATACTTTACAGACTTTCACATCAACAAGTGGAGTTTAATTTTCCACTCTGAATTCAATCTAGAACTCATGTGGGTTTGCGTACTTTTCTGTTCTGGGTTTGTGTACTCTAACACCAACATATGAACAAAGCCCTACAGTTTGAAGAAAGATCTCTTCCTAGAGCAGCCAGCTCTAGCCAGTCTGGCAGCTGAGCTCAAATACCTGAGCAAGCTCAGCTGTGATCAGTTTTGCCTATCTCTGTAGAACCATACAGCTGACCAAAGGCTCATGAACAATTACGAACGGTTATTGTATTAAGCCACTTGGTTTCGGGATAACTTGTTAAGCAGCAATAGATGACTAATTTAATAACCATTGTGAAACCTCCAATGAGATAATGTATCTAGGAAGTAATCAAATTATTCCGAACTCATGGATATATAATGAAAATGATGCGAGAAATAACTTTTGGGGTATCGGTAGGAATCGTGGGTCTATGTACTTAAATTCAACCATAGATAGTAATGGCTTAAAATATAAATTGGAGAGCTTGGCAGTTGCTAAACAATACTAAACAAATTGCAACTCACATGCGCAAGCATTACTGTTCAGCAGCAAAAATGAACAAACTACTAATACATGTAACAAGATGGAAGCATGTCAGAAGCATTATACTCAGTAAAAGAAACCAGACACAAAAGACTGTGTACTGTATTGTACATAAACTACATTCTGTAGAAGGCAAAACTATAGGGACATAAATCAGATCAATAGTTGCCAGATTCTGAAGGAAAGAAGAGATGGTTAACTTCAAAAGAGTGAAAGAACATGTTATGTCAACTGAAATGTTCCATGCCTTGTTTTTTGGCACTGGATGCTTGAAAAATATTCAGTTGCTAAATATATCAAAATATAGATTTAAGTAAATCTGATCTTAAACAACTAAACAATACAATATTGAAAGTTTCTTGCAGATTGTAATAAAATCATACAGACAAAAGAATAAGCACAAAATTTACCAAAATACCTACCTATGTAAAAGACAAAAGGAGAATGGAATTAGGGGAAATTGTGAATGGAAAGTTATTGGTTAACCTGGGTTTTTTAAGCTGGGTTGTTAGAAAATTATTTTGTTATCATTTTTATTATTCAAATTGTATGTCTTACATATAATAATAATTATGAATTATAATGCATGGAAATACAAAAAAAAGACAATGTCTGGGGTGGAGGTAAAACAGAAAAATATAGAGCTATAAAACCATACTAAGCTAAAATTCAGTAAGCCATGAGATAAACAAGATGGTCCAAAAAGTTAAAGTAAAATAGTAATAACAGTACACACCAACAAAAGTAATTTAAAAAAATAAATACTAAGTATTGACAATGATGAATCCCTCATCATTGGTGATATTGAACATTTCTTCATATACCTGTTGGTCATTTGTATGCGTTCATTAGAGAAATGTCTATTCAAGTCCTTAGCTCATTTAAAAAATCCGTTTTTGTTTTTTTTTGCCACTGAATTGTAGGAGTTTTCTGCACATTTTGGGTAGCTCCTTAGCAGATATCTGAGATATATGATTTGCAAATATTTTCTCCCATTCTGTAGGTTGCATTTATACTCTGTGGATTGCTTACTTCTCTGTGCAGGAACTTTTCAGTTTGACATGTTCCCATTTGTCTATTTTAGCTTTTGTGGCCTGTGCTTTTGATTTCATATCCAGGAAATCATTGCCAAGAACAAGGTTATGATGTTTTCCCCTTACATTTTCTTCCAGAATTTTTATAGTTTTAGATTTTAAATTTAAATCTTCAAGCCATTTTGAGTTGATTTTGTATATTATCTAAGATTAGGGTCCAGGTACATTTGTATGCATGTGGTTTTCCCAGCATCATTTGTAAAACAGACTCTCCTTTCCCTAATGTGTATTCTCAGAACCCTTGTCAAAGATCAGTTGAATATATATGCATGGGTTTATCTGTGAGCTCTCTATTCTGTTGCAATGTTCTATATGTCTGTATTTAGGCCAGAACCATACTGCTTTGATTTTGATCGCTTTGTAATATGTTTTGAAGTCAGAAAGTGTGATGCCTCCAGTTTTGTTCCTCTTGTTTTGGCTCTTTGGGTTTTTTAATGGTTTCACAGGAATTTTAAAATTGTTTTTTTTCTGTTTAGAATTATATTTTCTGTACAAAAAGTATTTTCTATTTGAATGCTGAAAAACTTTTCTATTTGAATTGCCAAAATCTATTGGGATTTTGACAGGGATTGCACTGAATCTGTAGATTGCTTTGAGTAGTATAGACATTTTAACAGTATTAGGTAATCCAATCCATTAATTTGAGATTTATTGTCATTTTTTTAGGTCTTAAATTTTCTTTCAGCAGTTTTCTAGTTTTCAGTGTAAATCTTTTACTTAATTAGTTAAGTGCATTCCTAAGTATATCCTTTTTTTTTTTGATGACATAGTAAATGGAATTGTTTTCTAATTTCCCTTATAGATGGATGATTATTAGTATATAGAAATTCATCTAGCTTTTGGATGTTGATGATTTTAAGCTGAAACTGTGCTGAGTTTATTAGTCTAATGTGTGTGTTGTAATTGATAAAGATTTTTATATATAAGATCATATTATCTGAAAACAGAGATAATTCTACTTCTTCCTTTCCCTTTCCATTTGAATGCCTTTCATTCCCTTTTCTTGCCTAATTGCTCTGGGTAGGATTTCAGTACTGTGCTGAATAGTGCTCTGAGACAGGCAAGACAGAAATCCATTCTTCAGTCAGCCCTTCAGAAAGCTAAAATACTGAATACACATTCTATGCTTCCCTTTTCTTCTTGAGGGTAAAACTGCCAAGTGTTATCAGCCTCTTTCTATTGTATTTTGGGTCCTCTGGAGTAGCATCAAGACACCCAGATCTCTTTTTGTTCTCAGCAGCCTCCAGGCAACTAGAGTATGCCAGGCCCTATACATGGCCCAAGTCAGGCAACACAGAAACAAGTCCCTTAGGCAGCCTCCCCAAAAGCTATACATTTTGACGCACGCTCCAACTATTTCTCTCCCTAGGGTAAAGCCAGGAGTTGGGGATTTTTCTCCAACTCACTTCATTCTGAATCAGGGAGAGAAGCAATGGTTAGTAAATATTTAGTAACTTAAACCATTGCTTTTGTTCTCAGTGATCCCAAATATGGTACAATTTTTTGTCAATGCTTAGATTCAGTCAAGACAGAAAACAGTGCTTTGAGAGTCCCACAAAATCCTAAACATAGACATATTCTAGTCTTCTCCTTCCCTCTCTATGGAGAAGTTTGGAGGTGGGAAGTGTGATATCGATGACATCATACTGTGGTAGGGGGAGGGACTCTGGCAAATGAGAGCCATGAGTTTTCCATGAGTTTACCATGAGAGCCATGGTACAGCTAGTTTTGCATAAGCCTAGTGGTACAGGAACCTCTCAACAGGTTTCAAGATTTCTCACAAAGGAAGTTGCTCCATGTATCATTTAATCAGTGTTGCCATGGGAAAATGAGGTCTAGGGCTTCCTATTCCATCACCTTGCTGACATCACCCCTGGAACTCTGACATGGTATTATTAGGAATTTAGATAGGTAATGGCTCACCTTTTAAAACAAACAAACACACTTGTTAATGGTTAACACTTGTGAAATCTGTGATCCAGCAATTCCATTCTCAGACATAGACACAAAATAAATGCGTACATATGTGTAAAATGTTGACTGTAGGAACATCATTCACAAGTGTCTTAGAGTTAAAATAGTCCATAAACAACAGAATGTATACATAAGCTCTGGAATTGTCAGAAAATATAATTATATGTACTGCTTTGCACTGTAAAACTGATCTATCTTACAGACATAATACGGAATGAAGATAAGCCTGATATTGTATGAATCCATTAGCATAAAATAGAAGTATAGGAGAAGTGAGTTTTTGGTAATAGAAACTGGAACATTCGTTTCTTTGGAAATATGATATTGACTAGAAGAGAAACAAAGACAGCTCTGGTGCTGTATTTTTTGATCTAGGTGGTAATTACACTGATGTATTGACTTCATAAATATTCATTAACTGTGTACTTAAAATTTTTGCATTTTGTTGTATGTACATAATACTTATATAAAAATAAATATTAAAACATTTAAATTTATTTGCAATGGAGAAGCAACATCAAAAGTTTGCTGGTGGTCAACATTAAAACCTTTTAACTATAGAATCACCATTAAAGAATAATTATAATTATATTATAGAAGGCATTATGGACTGAATGTTTCCATTCACCCCCAAATTAATGTCAAAATTCTAATTTCAACGTGATGGTATTAGGAGGTGGGACCTTTGGGAGGTCATTATGATAGCAGCAGGAGACAAATGGCTGGGCAGATAAGGGTAGGGCCCCAGTGAAACCTGACCTTCAAGGTGAAGATGGTGTAAAGCCTGGCTACAAGTTCCAGGTAAACCCATGGACCAGACTGAGAATATGTCTTCCCCTTTGGCATACTTTTCTCTGATTGATCCCCATCCTTCACCTGTATTACATATGCCTACCCTTTCTTAATTGGCTTTCTACATGCTGTGCCCAACTTTGAGTAGTGTCTTTGCTTTAACCTTTTTTTGCATTCTAACAAACCAATCAGCATGCACTCCTCATTCTGGGTCCGTACAAAGCCCTGGACCTAGCCACACTGGGAGAGAAACCACCTGACTGTGGGGGTGCGGGATCCCACGCCCCCTTTCTGCTGAGAGCTGTTCCACAGCTTAATACCGCCCATACTAGCCCTTCAAATCGTCACTCTATCCTCATTCTGTTTTTTTTTTTTTTTTTTTTCTTTTGAGACGGAGTCTCGCTCTGTTGCCAAGGCTGGAGTGCTACTCACTGCAACCTCCGCCTCCCAGGTTCAAGCGATTCTCCTGCCTCATCCTCCTGAGTAGCTGGGATTACAGGTGCAAGCCACCATGCCTGGCTAATTTTTGTATTTTTAGTAGAGACGGGGTTTCACCGTGTTGGTCAGGCTGGTCTTGAACTCCTGACCTTGTGATATGCCTGCCTTGGCCTCCCAAAGTGTTGGGATTACAGGTGTGAGCTACTGCACCCGACCATGTATCCTCATTCTTTTTGGATCCAGGACAAGAGCTCAGGACTGCTGAACATGGGAACAAGCTTTAACACAGGTGAACCAAGTGGGTACGGCGTCTCCAGTGGCAGACCCAGGGCTAAGCGAGGCCTAGGTGGTAGGGGCATACTGCTGGCTGTGGAGATCCCTGGTTAACAAAGTGGCTGAGAAAATCCTGTGTCAATTAGATGATGAGGGTGAAGCCCTCTTTAATTGAATTAGTGCCCTTATAAGATGAGACAGGTGAAAACTAGCTCGATGCCTCTCTCCTCTCTGGTATTTAAAGATATAATGAGAAGACAACCATCTGTAAACCAAAACAAGGTTATTTATCGAGAACTCAAACATGCCTACATCCTGACGTCAGATTTTTGGCCTCTGGTACTGTAAGAAACAAATGTGTGTCATTTAAGCCACTCAGTCTATGGTATTTTGTCAAAGCAGGCTGAACTGAGTCAGACAGAATGTGGTTGCTTAATTTATTTATGTTTTAATACAAACAACACCTAAGAATGTAATAAAACTGAAAAAGCATAGAAGGTATGATAGGATTAGGTGTTAGTGCTAATTTATGCTTCTGAAGTAACAACGTATCAATCAATACTGTCTAAAAATGAATGATCAAATAAAGGAAAAGTAAAACACATAAAAACACCAATATCTCAAGATGTTTGTAGTTAAATTTCTTAAGTTTAAAGGAAAATTTTAAATTAACATCCCCAATTGTGAAGAAAACCCTTATTTGAAATGGAACGAATTCCCCTATTTCACCCGTCTTATTTCCACCTGTAAAATTCAATTATACTTAATAATAATTTTTACATCAAAAGTAGCATAGAGAGTATTGACTCTTTTAAAAAAAGTCTATTTATTCCTCTATCTATATAATATGGAGATTTCTTAGCTAATGTTCCTGTATTTATTGACTTTTTTTACTCTTTTAAATATATACATATAAACACATATATGTATATTAATGCACACATATACACATGTGTATATATTTAAATAAGTCATGAATACAATAATTTGCACAAGATTCTTTGGTAGACTTTTATTAGAACAGTGTTTGTCTTTAATTTTAAATTACTTTAGTTTTAGATAATAGGGTAGAACATCCTATTAATGTATTTATGAATTGGGAGAAGAAGGCATCTCTATAATACATCATACTATAAAGAGAGAATTCTCATCGTTACTAGTATCCAAACACATAAATACTGTTTTATAATTCAATATAATAATAATTTATACAGACCCTCTTCTCACCTACGTTCTTAATGCTATTTCCGAAATCAAAGACGTTGTTTTATAAACTCTCACACAGGATATCAGAGTCTTCACATGGTACGCTTTCTTCATGTTGTTCCTCTATTCATTGTCTGTTTGCTGAATTTCAAGCCTTTCTTCAAGACTCTTCTCCAATAAAAGTTACTCTCTGAAGCTTTTCCTAACTCCATCAGATGAATTAATCATTTTCTTCTTTTTACTCCCAAAAGGCTTTGTACTCACCTCCTTGACTGTAATGAGATTTGTGTAATATCTAGCAAATAGCAGGCACTCAATAATGGTAATTACCTTTTGTATTTTGTGCAAGGGTACTCGTTTTCCATTACCTATACTACACATTGTTAAAAGGTCTTTCTCCCCTGCTCCTCTGTGACCTCTTAGTGTCAGTCTTTTTATTTCCATTGCTTAACCTAGCGCATAGCTGGTTATTCAATAAGTGTTTGCTCAAAAGAAAAGGAAATTAATGATGAATTTACAGAGTGATGAAAGAAGAAATTTATAGAAAACGGATCACCTATATTAAATGACTCCATTTTTACAAGAAATCTGATAGACAAAAAAATGTTATGTTGAAGGGATTTTTGTAAGGATGTGAGCAACAATGCTTTCCCAATTGAAAAAAAAAAAAGAACGTTACGATCTTTAAGAACATGGGGCGAAGCAATCTGCTGTTATTATTTCAATTCAACTTATTTCTGTAAAACTGAATTGATCGTCCATTCAGCATATTACATGTTGGTATCATGCTATTTGTTAGAGTAGGCAGAGAGGCAGGCATGAGCAGGAGAGGGGAGCCCCTGAGAAATGGGAGGTCTGGGGAATCTCACACCCCATCAACCAGCAGGAAACAGGCGTGCTCAATATGAACAGAGGGGAGGGGAGGGAAATGCCTATGCAGGAAGGAATGCCTATTAAGATGCCCAGTAATTACTCACTCTGGAATTAACCTGTCAGAATGTAGCTACTTGCTGATAAGGAGGGCAAAGAAGAAATGCCTAAGATATAGGCAGGCCTAATAAGTGGAATTTAACCACTATACCATCTTCCTGGAGTGGCAGTAATGAGCAATGCTGCCAAAGGAAGGATTTGAATCCAGCACCAGCCTGCACATGCACAGCAGTCGTAAGGGCAAGTCCCACAAGCCTGGTGGGGGAGCTAGGTGGGAACAAGGCAGAGACTTAAGACAGGAGTGGGTAAACTAAACAAAGGAAAAAGGTGGAAGTCTAAGACAGAGGCGGGAATTTTTTAACGTCCGACGTAATAAAAACCCAATGCAGGACCCGCAAGCTGTTGGATCACTCCATTCAGCAGCCCGCTCTGCTTCATCTTTGCAGAGTGTACTGTCCCTTTAATGTACTGTCTCTGCTCGCTATTCTTTTAGCATATTCTCTTTTTAGCTATATCAGTCCCTTGGGAGAATGCTTTCTCCAAGTAAGACAAATAACTGAGGATTCTTGCACTTCCCAGTAACAATATCTTCAAAGTTGAATGATTCATATGTTTTGAAATTACTTCTGGTTGGGAAGATAAGAGACATAAATAAAGGAAACAAAAATAAAAAAAGATAATAAGAGAGTATACTATTTGTATCATTCTCTTCTGCTTATTGGAATACAGAAGTTGATCAAGGAATACAGAGAAAATTAGCCGTAGGCGTTCCTCTTAACAATATTTTTTGTTATCTTTTGCCATTCCTTAAGAAAAGTAGGACTAAAGAGATTACATTAATGGATGTTGCCTACAAACACTTATTTGTTGTGTATATTTCTATATGTATGTATGTCTGTGTATGTGCATATATCTGTTCTTGTGTACCTAAATGTAACTATCTAGCTGTTTAAGGTAACTATTTGATAAACTTTGTGAATAAAGATATACATTTTTTTCAAGATAATATTTTTAGCAAATTACATATATTTTATTTATTGTGTACAACGTTATTTGTTGTGTACAATTAAACCATTAAATAATGTGGATTTGTTATTCTCAACTAAACATTGTGTTGCTTCTATAAAGTAAGATAATCCTTTCAATTGTTGCTATCTTAATCACAGATAGTAAGTTCAAATGACACCCTGCTGTTAGGAACTAGGTGTCCAGAGAGGACAGATTAGGTACTAATAAATACTCTCTTTTCCTTCCTGACAGGGCCATGTGTTATTCAAATGATAGAGATAGGTAACTGAACTTAGGAAGCCAGGCTCACAAGAGGTATCAAATTTAGTTTGTTTCTTAAAAGTTTAAATCCTGGGGAAACATCTTTTCCTCATTTCCTTGGGCTGCAAATGAAAATTACTTATATCCATTTATTTGAATATGCAACATCTGCTCAGGTAAGAAATAAGTATTATTCCCTCTGCCCCAGATAGTTCCAACAAGAATGAGATGGAGTCTCACACAGGATCAGAATGTGCAGGCCCTACAACCATCTGATCAGAGCAGCTGAAACACTCCTTCCAATGCTACTGCTTTCAGATTCTTTGCTGTGTTTAGGAGTCTTCCCCAAAGCATCATGTAAATTAACCTACCCAAAGGCTATTCACTTGACTCTCCCCTCTGTTGTGTCTTCAGTGCCTTAACTCTACAGATATTTTATTCATGAACAGAAAGTGGATACATTTCCTGCTGGATCTTAAATGATAGATGAAGTCATTAGAGATAAAATAACCATGTATTTTAACCTACCCAGAAAAGTTTTAGTGTATTCCTGTCAATCTGTTGTAATTATTAATAATATCCTTTTTATGCTCCAAAGTATCTCAGTTTGGAGAATAAATTACATGGTCACTGTATTTATAGATCTACTAGTGACTTCAGCACTTCTGAAATATGTTTTAAGAGGTGAGAGGCCTCAGTATGTCACTACTTAATTCAGAGGCATTCTTTTTTTTTTTTTTCCCTTTGGGACAGGGTCCTCTTTGTCACCCAGGCTGGGGTACAGTGCTGTGATCTCAGCTCACTGCAGCCAGAGACATCTTTTTTAGTCTACGTCCAAAGATTCCTACTCAAAACATGTCTATGCATTGTTACTAAATTAGTATATCCTAATCAAATCTGATTATGACATTCTCCTGCTTATAAGGATTAAAACCTTCCACAAAACCCATAGAATAAAAGTTTAATTTTGTTCTTTTCATATGAGGATATAAATAGTCTGAAAACATCTAAATGCTTCCTGCTCCATTCCTATACTTCCCTCACACATACACTGAACTCCAGACATGTTAAAATCTTGTGGTTTGTCAGTCATGACTCTTTCTCATGTTGCTGCGTTTTTTTTCTCCTACTGGTTCCTCTGTCTGGAGTTGCCTTCAGTCTCTTGAAGTTCTTTCTGATTCTGATTCTTGCTCTTTTTTTAATGTTTTTGAAACGGAGTCTCACTCTGTGCACACAGGCTGGAGTGCAGTGGTGCAATCTTGGCTCACTACAACCTCCGCCTCCTGGGTTTAAGTGATTCCCGTGCCTCAGCCTTCCAGGTAGCTGGGATTACAGGTGTGTGCCACCACACCTGGCTAATTTTTGTGTGTTTTTTTTTTAATAGAGACGGAGTTTCACCATGTTGGCCAGGCTGGTCACGAACTCCTGACCTCACGTGATCCACCCGCCTTGGCCTCCCAAAGTGCTGGGATTACAGGCGTGAACCACCATACCTGCTGGCCTGATTCTTATTCTTTAAAACTTAATTCAAAAATCACGTTTTTTATTCCTAAGTCAAGCATCTCCAATTTAAAATAATGGCATCATGCACATATTTCACAGTTGAAAACTTGTGATATGACTCAATTTAAAATTTATATTTTGTTTTTCACTCTAAACTGAATGACTTGAGAGACTATATTATTTGTTGCTGACTTTTCCAGAACTCATCATAGTGTCTGACATATGGAGTGCTTAATAAATGGTTCTAAATATGAATAATTCCCTTTCTTTCCAATTATTAATCACAATGAGTTAACGAGGCAAAATATAAAAATGATAGTTATCCATGCATAACCTGAGGGCTGTTTCTGTTTCAGTGGCTTTGGTTTAAAAAATAAAGAAATAAACAAAATAAAGCAAATATATAAAGTAAGCAAAGTTGTTTATTTTTTAGGTACTCTTTTTGACAATGGTAATTTTTAGTTTATTATGTTTATTGTTAATCAACTCACAAACTCTATCTGTTAAATAATTTTTGAATGCTAAATATGGATGAATAAGCTATCTTCATAATGTGTGGAACAAATGGATTTTTCCCTTTAATATCCACTCCGTAATCAAAGAATGAAAAATGGACCATTACTCACAAGAATTGCTAATAATGCAAATATCCTTGAAGTTAATCTTCAAGGAGAGAATATGAGCAGTTTGAAAATGAGAAAAGAACATCAATAGGAAACTCAGAAAGTAATTGTTAAGTCCACAAAAATCATGTAAAACTATGAACACTTCACTTATTAATACAGAAAAGTAAATTATTAGAACTTCATATACGTATCATTTTATTATCTATTAATTTGCAACATTAAAAATCAAAGGTGATAATATACTATCAAGTATGTGGCAAAACTGATGCAGAGTGTTGGTGGCAGGAAAAATTGGTACCTCTTGTGAAAATATTGTGGCAATGTACTTTAAAAAACATGAAACATTTAATAGTTTTTTTTCTCATTAATTCTACCTTTGAAATGTATTTTAAAATGCAATATAACATGAAGCTTAAAATATGAATAAATATGCTCTTTGGGGTGTTATAAAGTCTACTGTGTTGAAATATCTCTGTGTTAGGCTATTAATTGTGAAAAATCAATTTTATAGAATTGTAACAAACCCATTGCACTGTTAATTAGGACTATGTTAAGGTAGTTTTGGGGATAAGGAGAGCTAGAAATACAGAACTAATAATTTACGTTTGTGCTTTATATGGTCATACCTTTTCAAAACATGTATTAGTTTTTGGTTGCTACTGTAACAAACTACAACAAACTTTTTTTCATATGACACAGATTTTTTTCGTATGGCATTACACATGTATTGTTCATATGGCATCACCATCTTCCCCTTTTGCATGTAAAGTCCCCTTTTGATTACATTGGGTCTATCTGGATAATCCAGGATAATCTCTTTAAATCAGCTGATGAGCAATTTTAATTCCATGTGGGTAAAAATTAGCAAACTAGAAAATAAGGCATCTCTCAACTATAATATGCTATGAGAAAAACATATTTGTGCTGGCATAGAATATAAATTAATGGAGAGCAGGGGTAGAAGGGATAGAGACTGGGACTTACTTAGTCCTGTCCAAAAAAAAAAATGTTTTTGAGAAGGCAATAGTTGAGGGGGAAACCTGAAGGAACAGAAGCCTGCCAGGAGAGATCAAATGGAAATCCCACGCAGGTAGAAGAAACAAGGGAATTGAATGTTCAATGGCTTCATGTAAGAGAGTGCATAATGGTGCATTAATCAATTAGGATATAGTTTGGCAGAAATATAAGCAGTCCTACCCCCACCTGATCACTAAAGTCTGTGGCTCAATTACTAATTCAAGAGAATAGTTATAACCTTTGTGATGGCTAGTTTTATATATCAACTTGACTGGCTATGGTGCACAGAATAAACATTATTTCTGTGTGTATCTATGGGAGTGTTTCTGGATGAGATTAGCATTTGAATCTCTGAACTCAGTAAAGTAGTTTTCCCTCTCCAATCCATCCAGGGCCTGAATACAACAAAAGGCAGCTGAAGCAGGAATCTATCCCTTTTTACTTCCTATCTGCCTACTTAAGCTGGGACAATTCACTTTATCTTCTGCCCTTGTACTCATTCTGAATTACATCACCCTTCCTTGGTCTCCAGCCTACAGACAGTAGATTATTTAACAATTTCCCAGCCTCCACAATCTTGTGAGCCAATGCCTCGCAATAAATAAATCTACTGGTTCTGCTTCTTTGGAGAACCTTGACTAATACAACCTTTTTATGATATTTCAATAGCTTAACTGTCAATGATTCTAGTTATGCAGGATTTTATTATATCTATTTTTACATATCATCTTATATAATATTTTTCATGCTGTGGTGATTGGCCCATCAGTGGTTCATAAAGTCAATATAATTTGATAGCATACATTTAATAAAATAGAATATATTATAAAATATTATAAACATAATTTTTTCTTAAAATATCTGTTGGCTGGGTATGTGTAAATGTATATGTACATATGTTTTTACCAGATCATGATGTCGTAGGAGCCAAGGAGAACTTTCCCCTTGGCTCTCTGAAGGTTTGCCGAAAAGTCAGCTTTTATAAGAAAAATACATTAGATAAAAGACATACAAATTTATTTAATGTGGGTACACAGGGGACTCCAGAATGAAGACCCAAAGATACAGAAGAAATTGTCCATTTTTATGCATAGCTTCAACAAAGTATGAACAGCTATGTAGAAATGACAGCCTTGCTAGCAAGGCCTGTCTGTCTAAATTACTCTCCACGTCTGAGCATGCATTCCTTCTTCTCATTGTGGGGAAGGACTCCCTTTGGAATGGAGGCCTTATGACTTACAGGCAAACAAGGTGGGTCATATAATTTCTTTGTGACCAGTTTTTATGAAGAAAGGTAGAGGGAAAATTGAAATAATATTCTTTTGGCTTTATGACTGGCTTTGTGGAAATGTGCATTCTGGTTTCTATGACCTGCCTTGAGGAAGAGAGGTACAAGTTTCTATGGCTAGCCTCGGTAGAGAATGGAACTCAAGAGACAAGAGAATAGAAGGTCAGAGAAAAACTTCTGCTTCTGAACCAGCTTTTGAAGCCTTCATTTTGGAATATTATTATCTGAGCCCCCAAAATTTCCTGGTATAAAAACTATCCCAAGAAGTTTTACAGTCCAGAAAATGGGTTGGTGGATTGTCTTATAAACCATTGAACCAGTCTCTCAGTCTTAAGAATAGACCAGTCCAGTTAAACAGTTACTAGTTTTGTATCATTTCAGGCAGTGGTGTTGCATATGGGCTACCACCAAAGTCAGGCCTCCATGTGATTTGAACAATCAGATATATAATGAAGCATTTCTATGTAAACAAAATAAAAATAAAGCTTAATGGGTAGAACAAGTTGTAAACTCAGTTTTTTCGTCTAGAAGACAGCCCAATCATGTGGGCGGAAGATTACCTAGGTGCCAAGGCAAGAGACTGAAGGCACAAACTATTTCAGTATAATAAAGAAAATAGTTAGAATAAGAATAGTCATATTACAAATTAGATATAGAGATGGTCATGGACAATTATCAGTCATTATTATAAATGTTATTGATCATTAGCTTTTAATATTATTCTTTGTTGCATTACTAATATAACCTAGGAATAACTGGCGGGTATAGGGTCAGGTGCTGAAGGGACATTGTGAGAAGTGACCTAGAAGGCAAGAGGTGAGCCTTCTGTCATGCCTGCATAAGGGCCGCTTGAGGGCTCCTTGGTCAAGCGGTAATGCCAGTGTGTGGGAAGGCATCCGTTACTTAGCAGACCGCAAAAGGGAGTCTCCTTTCCTTGGAGGAGTCAGGAACACTCTGCTCCACCAGCTTCTTGTGGAAGGCTGGATAGTATCGAGGCCCGCCCGCAGTCATCCGGAGGCCTAAACCCCTCCCTGTGGTGCTGTGCTTCAACGGTCACGCTGCTTGTCCACTTTCATGTTCCTCCCGTACTCCTGATTCCTCTTTGAAGTTCGTAGTAGATAGCGGTAGAAGAAATAGTGAAAGTCTTAAAGTCTTTGATCTTTCTTATAAGTGCATAGAAGAAAACGCTGACGTATGCTGCCTTCTCTCTCTGCTTCCGCTACGTAAGAGGGAAGGGCACCCTATCCTGTAATCACGTGACTTGCTTCATCTTGTCAATCACTTAGAAGATTCACCCTCCTTACCCTGCCCGTTGTCTTGCATGCAATAAATATCAGTGAGCCCAGCCGTTCGGGGCCACTACCCGTCTCCGCATCTTGATGATAGTGGTCCCCTGGGCTGAGCTGCTTTCTCTTTACCTCTTTGTCTTGTGTCTTTATTTATTACAATCTCTCGTCTCCACACACGGGGAGAACACCCGCTTAGCCCCGTAGGGCTGGACCCTACCCATCAACATTTTTAGACATTGGGCTTGAAGGACCTTCAGATGAAAGGACAGCAGACAGTGGCACTCTGACAGATTTGTCCTGGTCTGCAGTTTGCATCAGGTCTCTAGTGAAATTTCTGAGTATTCTAGACATCAACAGCCATGAAGGATATTCATATATTAAGTTGCTATAGTGATTTTTTTCCAAAATTCGTATCAAGTTGTCTAGATTCAGCTTGTAGGGCTGCAGAAAAAAAGTAGTTTTAATTTAAATGATTTTAAGTCAGAAAAATAGGGAGAAAATGGAAACATTAGCTTGGAGACTTGTAGCCAGAGAAGAAATCAGAATTCAGTCCAAATTGCAGGCAAATAATAATAACTCAAAACCAATGAACAAAGCTAGAATCTAATAACAGATGTACTATAGTTTCATTTTGAGACATATTTTTTCTTTTTCCAGTTTCTCATTTCTATCAAAGACAAATCACAATAGGACCAGTTTATTTGCAAAATATATTTTAGTCTTATAATCCTCGTCCTGAATTATTTGCATAAAGTGCAGCAAAAATAGTGACTGGTCATATCAGCTTTTAAAAATTGGCTTTGCTGGAACTTTTGTAAGGAATTTCAGATTCGATTTTCAAAAGCCCCTTGAGGCTGGGAAGCCAAGCCAAGGAATTGCCATCAGACTGTGTATAAATACCTGTATGAATTGGTTGAATTTCTCTTTTCTCGAGGTCCCAAAGTAACTTGAGGTTCCTGGTCCTATCAGCAGGTGACATTCTTTACTTACCACAGGTCAGGAACCCTGTAAAGGAACCATGTATACAGGGTATCAGGCCAGTCTTTCCAAGTAGCTTTTTATTGGTTCTATAAAGTCAACTTTAATTCCTCAAAGCAATGTGAGCCTATCTGAAAATATATTGTTCCATTTAAACCCTTGGTAAAAATAACCAGTGTCTCCAATTGTGTCCGGTTATAAAAGAAAACAAATTTTTATTGAACATTTGCAAATAGCTATAGTTCCATAATTATAAATACAAATAGTTTCCAAATACTAGATAAATTGAGGCTATTGTTTTCTGTGCTTCAACAATGTAAAATATTTTTCTTATTTTTGATCACTGTCAAAAGAAGTTTAAGAGCCATTGCTTTAGCATCTATGTATGGACAATAAGGGTGATTCTTCAGAGATTAACCTGAACTATAACGTACTGGCCTCTGTGAAAATGATGGGCTTAGCTTTGTTCACATTGAAGGAATACATTTATAAGAAACTTAATGGATATTATTACTATGTTTAAGATGAAAACATTACCCTCTTCCTCGCACAATGATTATGTCTCTGTATTATAGCCTGAAGGAGAAATTATTTATATGATATCTGTAAAGAGGATAATTGCTACATTTTTTAGTAACTTTTGGATTGACATGATAGTCACAGAAATATTTATTTTTTTCCCCATGTGGCTTCTAGAAATCTTAGGACCAAGTATTGAATAATTTGTTCCAGGTATATAAGATTTCATGGTATTTTGCCTTCTAAATTAATTTATGCCATCCATCTAATTTTTCTATTTGTACTATATTTTTTTTCAGTTTTTTCACTATTTAAAATTTGTTTTTATCTTGTCATATTTTAATTTGTAAACTGCCTTAAATAGTTTTGGACATACTGCAACCAAAAGGCATAAAGATATGTGTTAAAGAAGAAATATACCTCTTTTCAATAATTTTCATGATCTACAAAAGTATCTGTTAGAGAAGAAAGTATTTTCTAACAAAGCAAACAACCTTCAAGTTTCAAGTATTTAAGTCAACCATATAAACATAGTTCATCTTTTAATTGAGTAAAATATATTTATTATTTATTTATTTCAGAAAATAGATGACTTGCCCAAGATACTATAACTAGTGAATTACTGAAGTTAGACTTAAACTAAACTGTTTTATGGTAGGTATGATGATTTGTTGTTTCTAAACGTGGGTAAGTATGTGTATGTTTAAATACTGCTAAACAATTAAAAACTACTCCAAAATTAATTGACATATTAGGAAAATAGTATTTGTGTGTGTGTGTGTGTGTGTATATATATATAGTTGTGTGTTTGTGTGTGTATCTATGTGTCCATACATACATGCACACATGTTTTTATCAAATATTATTGATTGAACATTTATTTTTTGCTCTTGAAACTCAAAATTACATTTGTGAGGTTGATATAGCCTTCTAGTAACAATATATATATATATATATATATCTTTTTAAATTTTTCTGATAACCTTTTTGTTTCAAAAACAAGCAAAGAAGTTGCTAGCTTCTGCCTTCCTTTGTAGTGCCTCTAACAAAACATAGATCTAACAATGTCATTCTACTTCTTCTTATCAGAAGTCTTAAATATCTCATTACACTCTGACTTTATGGTCTCTGCCTATTGCATTATAATTTCTTCTATTGCATGACTCAGTGATGCAAATTGCTATATATCTCTTCTGATTTCTCTTTTTGATTAGAAGGGACATTTTCATGACGAGTGTAAGTGATGCATCAAAATACAAATATAGAACAAAGTTTTGTGCAGAGCATAGGTTGACACACTGGAATGTGTTACATTTATTTCTTTGTGACTTTTTTTTTTTTTTCCCGAGACAGAGTCTCACTGTTGTCACCTGGGCTGGAGCGCAATGGCATAATCTGGGCTCACTGCAACCTTTGCCTCCCGGGTTCCAGCAATTCTCCTGCCTCAGCCTCTCGAGTAACTGAGATTACAGGCACCCGCCACCATGCCTGGCTAATTTTTGTATTTTTAGTAGAGACGGGGTTTCACCATGTTGGCCAGGCTGGTCTCGAACTCCTGACCTCAGGCGATCCACCTGCCTCGGGCTCCCAAAGTGCTGGGATTATAGGCATGAACCATCTTTAACACTACTTTTGCATATATTATTCTACGTTGCTTTAGATACATTGCAAAAAGGATGATTATAAGTTATTAATAAAATTAAGTCATTAGAGTTTCATTTCAATATATAAAATATGTCCTACACTTAGAAGATTTCTGAATATGGGAAAATGTCTGACATGGGGGAAGAGCAGTTTCTGCTCAGAAACTTCTTAAGCAGAGACTTAGATTGCCCGCACTGACAAATTTTTTAATCAGGTAGTGTTTAATGGATGGAATAGGACTGAGTGTTACTGACAAAGAAGTAAGACTACATTCTTGCCAAAATCTTGTCTATAAAACATTTTATGACTTTATTTGTAGAGTTTTTTGGATTATTTTTCCATAAAATAATTAAATATAAATAACCGTTAGTTTTTGCAAGTGAACACTTGTACTCGTCTTTAAATGGAGGAGAAATCAAATAACTAACAAATATTGTCTAGCTTAAAACAGGCAGAAAATATGTGCAAAAAATAAATATTACAACATAGTTATCTGCCAAGATTTCTAGAAGACCTTGTTACAATGGAAGTCATTTATTTATTTGTGTATCTCTAATTGAATTTAAGGAGTTCTTGTATATAGTTAGCTTATAAGAGGTTTTTCAAGACACAAAGGGCTGTTTAAGGGCTGCACATTTCTTATGTTCACATATATGTACCGTTTTCTAATATGAGTAGATGGCATTTACCACCTGCTTTGGGTGGCGTTCCCAAGGCACATTAACCTAGGCAGATCCAGTCCTCGCAGGCCAGGGGGCTCAACAGGCCTCAAAGGGATGAAAGTCTGGGCCTCCATAAGTAGGAGTTGGGCCCCTCCACCAGCATCTCCAGTGAGTGGTTCTTCACATTTCTGGTGGTATACCAAGTGTCTGGGATTCCGTGCTGAGCTCTTCCTTATTCACTCAACATTACTGAGGGAATCCTTGTTGACATATTTCCCTGTGCTGATAACATGCATAAATTCAGCATGTTGCCAAATCTAATCTGAGATTGTGAAACAATTATGTTTATAACATCCAAGAGATAATTATCAAAATTTAAGAAATAAATAAATTGCATTACAAATTACATTGAATTCAATCTTCTTTAATCAACTAAAATATTGATATAAATACCTTTTATTCACATTCAGAAATAGTAAGTAGTAAACAAAAATTATGGGGAAAGATGGCTTATTGGTTTTGGAGTTTCAGAAGACTATTTTTTAAACAAATAAATTGCTTAGACTTATGAAACTTCTAGTTCTGGCTGAGAAGCAAAGAAATGTTGAAAGTCTCTAGCACCTTTAAGTCAGACTGTCTCGTCTCTGTCACTGATCTCATTTTCTAAGTGGTGTAGGCAGTGTCAGTTCTAAATGTTTTATTTACCCTGATTTGGAATTTTAAAAAATCTTCAAAAGTCAGAGCAGCCAGATAGCATAGGTTTTAAGGTAAGTTTTTTTTTTTTTCAACTTTCATTTTAGATTCAGAGATACATGTGCAAGTTTGTTACCTGGGTATATTGAATGATGCTGAGGTTTGGGATACGAATGATCCAGTTCTAAACATAGTACCCAATAGTACCCAATAGTTAGTAAGTTTTGACGTTCGGTGGGGAGTATAAACTATATGAATAATTTCTAGCATCCTAGCCACTGAAATAACACAAACTCAAGGAATTTTTTCCCCTGGTTAAAAATAGTTTTATCTGTAATAGAAAACTTACATATAGTTAGTTGTTGGTGAGCCAGTAAACAGATCAGAAAGGAAAATGAACCACTATCAGAATAAGATCTACATCAGGCTGTTCTGCTACATGTCAGCATTTGCTTACCCTTTCTCTTTCATTATAGCATTGAACTACTGACATGCCCAAAGAAGAAAACCCATTCACAACCACTAAAGTCCATGGCCATTTAAATATGAAAATGGTAAAAACCGCTTACAAACTGCCAAATAGAAAGGCATTCAGAAATTATTACTTTTCTTCTAACCTCCTTTAAAACAATAAATTGTTCTCTTATTGGATGTCAAGTATGTGCTCAAAGCAAACAGTTTAGGACTAGATATTGGCCATGTTGTAATGACAAACTTCGATTTCATAAATCTTTACATTGAAACAAATTATCACAAAACATGAAGTACATTTGAAAGTTTATGTTACCATGCAATTGTTGTTTATTTTATATTGTGATTATTTTTCTTCAAGAAATTTCCACCTTCTCCCTAACAACCCCGCCCAAAATCACCAATCTTATTTCCTTAATAGATTATAAAACTGAGTTAAGAGAAGAATCTGAAAAATATGTAAGAGAGAATATTCAAGAAATGAGACATTTATTGATATCCCCAGGTTGGCTCAGGGATGGCTTTAACTATCACTTGCGAAATTTCAGTACCGCAATCTGCTTGTCAGGAACTAACAGACAGAAGAGATATTCTGAAGAGGCCGTGTATACAAAATTATGTTTAACCTGTGAGAATTATCTCTAATACTATAGGCCTGATTCTTGCATTGCTATTCAGATCACAGCCTTGACATCACTGGAACCTTGGAATTGTTTTTAATTCTGTTCTCCAGCCTTGCCATACCTTTGACATTAGAGGAACTCAGTTCTCTTGTCTTGACCAACCCCAACAAAATAGCCCTAAACTAATGTTAAGACAGAGTATGCAATTATGTGCTCATGTGTATAACTAATGTTAAGTTGTGTATCAAGATAATTTGTTTCTTTAAAATTATGTAATTTGCCAAACTTTATTATTATTATTATTTTATTCAACTTTTATCTTAAGTTCTGGGGTATGTGTGCAGCTTTGTTACATAGGTAAACGTGTGTCATGGTGGTTTGCTGCACAGATCATCCCATCACCTACTTATTAAGCTTGGCATACATGAGCTATTCTTCCTGCTGCTGTCTCTCCCTTGGCTCTCCAACAGACCCCAATGTGTGTTGCTCCCCTCCATATGTCCATGTGTTCTTACCATTCAGCTCCCACTTATAAGTGAGAACATGCAGTGTTTGGTTTTCTGTTCCTGCATTCAAACTTTCCTTTCCTTTTTTTGACCTAAAAAAGTAATAGGAAATGTTATTGCAATTTTTTATGAGCATGTGGAATTGCATACTTTAATGCTCTGTAATTTAAATTCTGCATTCCATGGCATAATATCTGAATTGATACCAATTTATAATAAATCCCTAGCACTGTATACATTTTCATGTTGGAAAACTGATTCTTGTTTCCAGGATTATTATTTAAATAGTAGGACAAATATATCATGAATCAGATCTTTTCTAGCTGGAATCTTTTTTGTGCAGAAGTTTGTTGGGAAAAGCTGAGTGTTGGGAGAAGCTGAGGCAGGGTTTGCATGTCTGACATAATGTAAAAGTCTTTGAACATGTCTGGGGTTCAGGGTCTAAAACCGCTTGTGGCCTTTGGAACACCAAGCTCTGTGCTAAAGGGTGGAAGGCTACCCGGATGTACCATAATCTAAGCCCAAGGCGTAAAACCCGTCGTGGCTTGGATAGAATCCAGGGCTTGTGGCCTCTGGAATGTGTCTACACTGGCTGACTCCTTGCTCCTTGCTCTCCTGGGATTGATTGTATCTTGAGTTAAAAGAACCGGCTCTCCATTATCTCAGGTAGCAGGGCACATGCCAAACCATCAAGCTGTAAATCATGTGCTTAATGCAATGCTCCCTTTCACCCCCACATTCTCACCACCTGTTTCTTTGTTTGATCACCAATAAATAGTCTGGGCTTCCAGAGCTCAGGGCCTTTGCAGCCTCCACACTCGTGATGGGCCCCTGGACCTACTTTCTCTCTCAAAGTGTCTTTTCTTATTCCTTTCACTCCGCCAGACTTCATCACCCCCATGACCTGGTGTTGGGCCCGATCACCCCAACAAAGTTTATTACATGTGTTTTGGAAGTTCATTGTATATACCTAGCAAATTCAACATGTCTGCCATGCTGAAGCCATACTGAAGTTATGACACAATTTGGTTCTAATAAAGAGAAACTGCCCCCTTCCAAACATGAAATGGAATACAAAAGAGACAGTCTTTTTTATTATTATTATACTTTAAGTTTTAGGGTACATGTGCACAACATGCAGGTTTGTTACACATGTATACATGTGCCATGTTCGTGTGCTGCATCCATTAACTCGTCATTTAGCATTAGGTATATCTCCTAATGCTATCCCTCCCCCGCCACAACCCACGACAGTCCCCAGTGTGTGATGTTCCCTTTCCTGTGTCCATGTGTTCTCATTGTTCAATTCCCACCTATGAGTGAGAACATGCCGTGTTTGGTTTTTCGTCCTTGTGATAGTTTGCTGAGAATGATGGTTTCCAGCTTCATCCATGTCCCTACAAAGGACATGAACTCATCCTTTTTTATGGCTGCATAGTATTCCATGGTGTATATGTGCCACATTTTCTTAATCCAGTCTATCATTGTTGGACATTTGGGTTGGTTCCAAGTCTTTGCTATTGTGAATAGTGCTACAATAAACATACGTGTGCATGTGTCTTTATAGCAGCATGATTTATAATCCTTTGGGTATATACCCAGTAATGGGATGACTGGGTCAAATGGTATTTCTAGTTCTAGATCCCTGAGGAATGGCCACACTGACTTCCACAATGGTTGAACTAGTTTACCATCCCACCAACAGTGTAAAAGTGTTCCTATTTCTCCACATCCTCTCCAGCACCTGTTGTTTCCTGACTTTTGATGATCGCCATTCTAACTGGTGTGAGATGGTATCTCACTGTGGTTTTGATTTGCATTGCTCTGATGGCCAGTGATGATGAACATTTTTTCATGTGTTTTTTGGCTGCATAGATGTCTTCTTTTGAGAAGTGTCTGTTCATATCCTTCACCCACTTTGTGATGGGGTTGTTTGTTTTTTTCTTGTAAATTTGTTTGAGTTCATTGTAGATTCTGGATATTAGCCCTTTGTCAGATGAGTAGGTTGCAAAAATTTTCTCCCATTCTGTAGGTTGCCTGTTCACTCTGACGGTGGTTTCTTTTGCTGTGCAGAAGCTCTTTAGTTTAATTAGATCCCATTTGTCAATTTTGTCTTTTGTTGCCATTGCTTTTGGTGTTTTAGACATGAAGTCATTGCCCATGCCTATGTCCTGAATGGTATTGCCTAGGTTTTCTTCTAGGGTTTTTATGGTTTTAGGTCTAACATGTAAGTCTTTAATCCATCTTGAATTAATTTTTGTATAAGGTGTAAGGAAGGGATCCAGTTTCAGCTTTCTACATATGGCTAGCCAGTTTTCACAGCACCATTTTCTTATTTGATGTGGATGAGACTTCTGGACATATGTTAACTTTGGATAAGAAAATGTATTTGCAAATTGTGCCAACATATTTATAAAAGCTATGCTGTGGTGTATTACAAGTTAGGTATACATAGACATATTTGGGCATGTTGTTCATCTTTGGGACTGTCTTATGCAGCATAATTCTTTGCACAACCTATACGCTCAATAAAAACATTTGTTATTTTTTTATGGAAATAAGGATCATGATTTATTTGTATACACTAGAGAAGTGTAATCATTAAATAGTTTGATAAAATTTTCTTGGAAAGTTCATGAGGATAGAATTAGGTAGGGGGAATCAATAGAAGGAAGATATCAAAAAGGACTTTGAAATAATGTAAATGTTAGATGAAGAGAACCTAAAATATAGAAACTATCTTGAAATCAATATGGATTCCAAAACTATGACAATGTAGCAACAGTTCATCAGTTGGACATGAAAACTAAACGGAAGTCATTAAATATTAATTGAACAAAATAAATAGTTATGCAGTATCATTTACCACTCTCTAATGATTCTGAAGAGTATGGGCTTTTTCCTCATTACCAAAATCACAAACTATTTGAGTACAGGAACTGTCTGTTTATTCTATTATCATACATAGTTCATAATAGATATTCAATGATTATTCAATAAATACGTGAATAAAAAGTAAAAACTATATATGTACTATAAAATGTTTCAAAGACAAAAATGAAATTCAGAACAATTATGTTTTAGTGTTCATTCATTCTTGGCACATGCCTTATACCTGTGGAGCAATGAGAGAAAATTCAACAACACTACACTTTAATTAGCAGCAGAATATAATTGTCTTAAAGAAACTCTGAATGTTACGCTGCTCCTGCATTTTGAAAAGCGCCCATACCTGAACAAGAGCTAGTGTTCTTCTGAGGCCCTCATACAATCCTTAGCTGATTAGTGGGCTTGGAGTTTGAGGCAGCTGCGCGGGCAAATTGTTTTACATCTGAATATGGATTTTTATGAGGCTACATAGCTTTTGCAAATAAACCTGAAGAAATGTTCCACCTGTGCTCTTAGAATATTGGGAAAATTCTTAGATAACAGCTCTTTTTGGATTAAAATGTATTATTGCAAACTTGTTTTGAGACAAGTCTTTGCTTTGGCATCATTCCATGAGTTTGAGAAGCATAAACTTTGAAACGAAGTGTTCAGCAAATCTCAAAAATGATAATGACAGGAAAGAAACACCACAAAATTTCTGGGGCAGGATAGAAACATGTTATGTTGGAAAAACGTTTTCAGTGCACAGTGTAAAAATGCAGCTTGAGTAGTATTAAACAAGGAGATTGAAAGGGTTTCGAAAAGCAGTGATTCAGGAAACAGTGCCCAGATTCGGGAGTTAACTAGATTCCAAACACCTGCCATGGGCAAACTACTTTGTGATCAAGTTAAGTAACCTTTCATTCAAAACTTTTGCTTTTTGTCACTACTATGAATACAACAGTTGTGAATATTTTATATTAACTCAAATAAAAAATGTCCATTAAGTCTCTGACTCACAATGATTATCCAATAATTTGCCCGCAGTTGTCCTTCATAAGACTTTTTTTTTTTTGAAACAGAGTTTCAGTCTTATTGCCCAGGCTGGAGTGCCATGGCACCATCTCGGCTCACTGCAACCTCCACCTCCCAGGTTCAGACAATTCTCCTGCCTCAGCCTCCCGAGTAGCTGGGATTACAGGCACCCACCACTATGCCCAGCTAATTTTTATATTTTTAGTAGAGATGGGGGTCTCACCATGTTGGCCAGGCTGGTCTCCAACTCCTGACCTCAGGTGATCCACACGCCTAAGTCTCCCAAAGTGCTAAGATTAAAGGCGTGAGCCACTGCACCCGGCCTATAAGACTTATGTGATGATTTTGTGGTGTTGCATATTTGAAGGGCTTAAACCATGCCTGGCACATTAGTCGAGAGGTATTTATCATCTCTCTGCTGGTTACATCCCAGGGTATCCATGTTACCAAGAAGATATGATTTCTTCACTAGCATGAAGCTTTTATTTACTGATTTATGACAGTGTCCCTCATTTTAGTTTGGAAACATTTTACTTTTGCTTAGCTCATTAATGTTTATATCTTATAGATTGATTATTATAGCTATAGAGTGAGAATATAACTGGTATGTTTCTTCTGTAAATATTTACAGACAGATGCCCACAAATACTTTACAATATAATCTTAATGTTTGCTTAAATGAAACAAGCAAAAAACAAAATATATATGGCATGAATTTCATTTTTAACAAGTATTTCCGTAAGTTGTGCAACTCTGGGTAAGTTGTGTTATTTTTTTTATTTTCTTATTTTCTATTTTTTTCGTTAAGGGTAGCAAAAAGTATTAGAAACATTAACCTGAGATAAGAGACAGTGCTTTGTATTAAGAAGGTCTAATTGTTAATTTAACCAAATCCAATGGATCCATGACTCTATTTTTTAAAAAGAAAATCTATTACCTAAGTATTATAAAAAGTGTAAGGAGGAGTGTTGAGCAAAGAAAATGGTAATTGTGTGAGTTATTTTAAATAAACATTAACCAAATAAAGCAACAATTACATTACATAGTATGTGGAATCAAATAAATTAAATTAAAATAGTAAAAGTGCATAATCCTAGAAAGAATGCCTGGAGTCATATCAGTATATATGAAATAAGTCTATTTGTAAATCATAAGTATTCAAAATTTTATTCAAAAAGGTTTTCAAGCCCCTCAGATAATGTTGGATACCTCTATTAAGTGTTCTCATACACTATATTGCTCTGTTTTTTTTGGAGTATGCATTTCTATTCTCATTGATTATTTAATTAAAATCTGTTCTCACCAGCAGTCTAGACATTCCATTAGGTAGGACTTTTTTTTCCCCTCTCACTGGTATATCCCTAATAAGTGCACAGCCTGTGGCACACTGAAAGAACATCAGAAAAATGATTGACTATGTAAACAAATAAATGGATGAAGATAAATGGGTAATAAACACAACAGAATAATCAAGTTCATTCGGGGTTAGGAAAGGCTTCTCAAAAGAGATAACTCTATTTTGTTTACAATGAGTAAATAAGTCACTTGGGAAGAAGGGGACTAAAGAAGATCAGTGGGAGAAGAGTCAGCGTAGGCAAAAGCCTGCAAATAAAAACTTTCATGTGTTAGTATTGTCAGAGCATAGAGGAAAATGGAAAAATAATGGGACTCAGCATGGCCATGGCTTATTATGGCCAGGACACTGGCAGTTTGTATTGATAGTCCATATAGCTTAGAAAAGACAAAATGCATTATCCGGTGTTGGTTATAGTATCTAGGTGGGCTCAATAAACAAAACTTGTTAATTGTGCTTTTCATAAGGTATTGCATTTCTTTGATTATTCAGTGCTAACAGTGGTAGATTAAGCTTGGGTCAATGTCATGGCATATTTGTTATTTTCTCCTTGTATTTTAGTCATTTTTTTTGCTTTATATAATTGGAAGCTATTTATTAGATGCATTATATATTACTCAAAAATTAAACTTTTTATAATTATACAATGTTTCTCTTTGTCTCTAGAAATGCTTTGTCTTCAACTCTGTTTCATCAAATGTTAATATCATAGCACAAGCTTTCTTTTTGCTACTTTTGTCTGATATATCTATTTTATACTTTTACGTTTGACTTTTATCCGATGTTTAATACTTAGCTCTTATAAACAACAAACAGACACTTTTCTGTTGTTAATTCAGTTTAATCATCTTTGTGTATTAACTGGAGAGTTCATTTCAGTCACATTCAGTTTGATTACTATATAAACTCACTTTTATAAGCTTCCTTTGTCCTTTCTACTTGTATAGCTTTTTCTAATTTTTTTCTTCCTTTCTACTTTTTGATTAATTGAAATTATGATTTTTTTATATTTTCTCATTCTCTTTGTTAGTTATGTACCTTCTTATATTTTAGTGGATTTTTTGAAAATCATAACATGGATTTAAAAAATATGTATGAAGTAAATTAGTGGTTTTACCCCATTCTTAAACAATATAAAGATTTAGAATGATTTAACTCCAGCTTTACTCCAGAGATAAGTGCTTCAACTATTTTAAATTGATTTAATCCCAAATATTAGGCAATATTATCATTAATTTATTTAGCTAGTTTTTATTTAAAGTTACTCACATGATTACTATTTTATTTATTCAATATTCTTTCTTACACTTTTGATTATACATTTGTAAATAATTTTTCTACTTTGTTAAGTCGAATTGTAAACAGCTTTTCATGGTAGGCAGAATCCTAAAATGATTTTCAATGATACTCTCTCTTATATAATCCTATTGCCTCTGAATGTGAATGAAACTTGTAAATATGATGAAATATATTGTTCATGCTTCTATTATGTTATATGGCACAGATTAGGAAGCAGAGATTATCCGGGTGGGCCTAACATAATCCCTTGAGCCCTTTAGAAACAGAGAGATTTATTTAACTGGTTGCAAAAGGGGAACTCAGATTTAAAATATGAGAGGGATTTGATGTGGGAGAGGTTCTTTGTCGGTGGCTTTGAGCTGAGGAGGCCATAGAGCAAGGTTTGAGAACAGCATCTTGGAGATCAGAGCATTACCTAACCAAGAGAAAACAGAAACTATAATGTGACAACAGCAAGGACAGGATTTTGCTAATAACAGAATGAGCTTGGTAATAGATAATTAGATAAAGCTTAGCCCTGTTGATAGGTTGATTTCAGCCTGATGAAAACCTTGACAAAGAACTCAATCGAGCTTACCTGCTCTCTGAGCTGCATACTATGAGAAAATAAATGGGGGTTGTTTTAAACTCCTGAGTTGTGATAACTGTTTATGAATCAGTAGACAACTAAAACATCTTTAGTGAGATTCTATTCATGTTAAATTCTCTGTTTTCTGATACTTATTTCTAGATAATTATTTTCCTCAAAGATTTAAAGATACTTTTTATACCCTTCTGTTTTAAAAGGTCAATTTTGATTTTTTTGGCTCTTTTATAAACATTCTTTCTTGTTAGTTGCTTTAGTAATTTTTTTTTAATTTGTGTCTTTCTTTATGCTACTATAGTAGAATACCAAAGACTGGGAATTCCAGAACTGCTATAACAGAATATGACAGACTGGATAATTTATAAAAATCAGAAATTTATTTGTCATAGTTCTGGAAGTCATAGTTCTGGAAATCATAGTTCTGGAAGTCCAACATCAAGATGCCAGCATTTGATATTTAGTGAAGGCCTTCTTGCCACATCCTCTGGAGAAAAAAGAATGCTATGTCCTCACATGGCAGAAGGTGGAAGGACAAAAAAACAAGCTATCTGATAGATGAATGGAGCCTCTTAATCCCATTAACTATGAAGGATCCCTTATGGCCCAATCACATCTGAAAATCTCACCTTTTAATGAGATGACATTGGCAACACCTGAATTTTGCAGGGGACACATTCAAACCATAGCAACTTGACTTCACGACAATGTATCTAGATGTGGATTTATTTTTCTGTCTTTTTTCTTTCCCTTCTTTTTTCCTTCCTTTCTTTGTTTCTTATCCTTCCTTTCCTCTCCTTTTCCTCCTCTTCCCTCCCTCTTTTTTTTTTTTCTCTCTCCCTACCTGCCTCCCTCTTTATTTCTGCTTTTTGTTCTTTAGTCATTTTAACATTTTAGCTTGGGGATTTCTCTGTCACAACATTACTAAAGGATGGGAACTGTATCATTGCTCAATCTTAATTTAGGAAGGGGCATTTCCAAGTTGAACTTAGTTGCATGCTCATTTTCAAGGTTTTGTTTATAGTTCATTATGTAGCCAAAATAAATGAAGGAGCAGGTCAGTAGGAACTGGTAAGTGTTCATAAGGCAGCTCCATCTTTGCTGCTATTTAACTCAATACATCTATGTGTTTAAATTTGCTTATGGTCTCACAGAATGCGCCTTACTCTCTTGTCAGAACAGTGATGGTTCTATAAAAATGGTTCTCTAGAGTATTGCTTCAATAATTTCATGTTTTTTTACATGTAAAGTTTTTCCAAATATCCTGTTTTCTGTATCACCAGATATACAAGTGGAAAAGGCCTGAGATACCATTTGATTTGTTAGGTAGGTGGTGCAGAAACAATGAAGAGTGTGAGAACAAGGTGTAGCAATCACATTTGCATTTTTAAAAGTTATACTGTTGATAGTATGGAGGGTAAATTGTAGGGTGTAATGAACTGGGATAGGAGACGAAAGCCTCAGAGAGAAATGGTAGTGCAGATGAAAAGGAAAAAAGATGCAAGAGAATCTCAGATAGTGAACTCAACAGGAATTTGTAAATTGTTGGATTTCTTAAAAGGGTAAGAAAAAAAGGTTTGAAGTCTAGATTTTCAATTATTTCTTGCTTGTATGAATGTTTTCATGGAGTTGTTACTACCCAGAAAAGAATCAGAAAAGAAAAGGATAGGTTAGGGCATGGTAGTGGCTCCAAAATAACTATTTTAGCATGAGTGCTTTAAGATTAATTATATGGAGGCAGAACTATTCCACTGGACATTTGGAGTTATTGATTTGAAGTTCATAAGAAAAGAGAACACCCAGAGTTGTATTTGTCTGTTTGTTTTTAAGAAACATCAACAAATAGAAAAACTTGAAGTTCGGTTACCCTGTGATATTACCCAGGCAGTATTTATAGTAAACAGAGAAAGGGAGCACCAAGATGTTTAGGAGTGAGCACGATTGTTATGCTATAGAACAGAAATTTGATCACCAGGGCCCTAGAGAAAATGAGAAATCTCCATGATATGGTTTTGATGTGTGTCCCTGCCCAAATCTCATATTGAAATGTAATTCCCAATGTTGCAGTTGGGGCCTGGTGGGTGGCATTTGGATCATAGGGGCAGATTTCTCATGAATGTTTTAGCACCATTCCCCTTGGCATTGTCCTTGCAATAATGAGTGAGTTCTCTTGAGATCTGGTCATTAAAAAGTTTGTAGCACTTCCAATATTGTTCTCTCTCGTTCCTCCTTTTGTCTTGTGATGTTCCTGCTTCCCCTTCACCTTCTGCCATGATTGTAAGTTTCCTGAGGCCTCCACAGAAGCCAGGCAGATGCCAGTATCATGCATCCTGTAAGCCTGCAGAATCATGAGCCAATTAAAACTCTTTTCTTATAAATTACCCAGTCTCAGATATTTATTTATAGCAATGTGAGAATGGACTAATGCATTCCATAATATGTTTATTTCAGTATTTCAGTTACGCCTGTCTCTCCTTTCTAATTGTCATTGTCAACCAATAATAGATTGTGTTTTCTCCTACATTTTTATGCTATTCTTCATGGAATAAAACAAATCCCAAAAGTTAGTTTCAAATTGTCAGCACTCTTTCCAATTTCATAATGAAAAAACATGAGGTTGTAGGTTTTAAAAGTTGCAACCTGATTTCTCTCAAGAAAATTTTAAACCTAAATAATCTTTTGGAAATGCGTTCTGCCCCATTACTCAGAGTTTCAGTTCTTCTTCACACAGTGAAATCTATGATTAAATTGCACATTTCTGTAGATAGTGATAGTCAACATGTATCTCCAATCAAAGAAACAACACACCAAATTCAAGATGTTTTTCATGGAAGCAATTTAATTCCATGCTTGTTGTGAGTTCTGTGATACAGAATTACTGAAGATTGCTCACAAGAAACAGAATAATACATTCAAGCTAAAAATGCCTTGAAAGTGTTTTCCCCATCCATAATTCATTAAAAATGAGTAAAAATAAAAATCATAGATGAGGATGTCCTAATTTGGAGACAAATATCAAGGGTTTTATTCATTACTGTATGTGAATTCAAATAACTTATATTCTCATGGTATAACTTATTCACAATATTGTCTGGAGGATATTCTAGGACAAAAGTATAAACTTGCCTTTTTGCTGAGTTCCCTAAACCTTCCTTGTTTCTACCTTTTCTGAATTTTGAAATAGTCAAATACTTTAACAGAATTTCCTGTACTTGTCAACTTCCAACTGAAGATCTTTTATAGTAATGAACTTACTTCTCTTTGAGTGATAATGCTCTACTCCTCACAACCTGGAGAAGAGATGTCTGTATGTGTGAATCTGAACAAAGAACAAATGCACTTACAAATATTTTTTATGAAACCAGTATTTTATCATTATACTTTTTTGGTATTTGGTATGATTTTTTGGCATATTTTGCATTTTTCCTGAAATTACTCAGAATTAATTTCTTTTGTTTTTACTTCTTTATTTTGCGTTTCTCCAGAAGGACATCCTCAAGGATGAGAATGAAAGTTATATATTTATTTTCAGAAAACACTGGTAGAATACGGACACATGAGACAAGGCCAGAAAGGAAGTCAATAAAATGTGATTACTAAGCAAATTACCACCAGAGAAGCAGAAGGAAATCCCTCTTCAATATTTTGAGAGACAGTAAAGAACATTCCCTGGAGTTAGGACAAATGAAGAGCAAGAAGTTTGTGCGTATCTGACAACTTTTCTTCCATCACTGGTTGAGGGCTACTTCCAAAGATTTAACGTTCCTGCCCTTTCAGATTAACTGCTCTGGCTTAGTGTACCCACAACAAGGAAGAAAAAAAATCCTTAGGCAGAGAGTCTCAGGTGTTTGTAATTGGCACCATGGATAGATAGAGGTGAATTATGAGACGAAACGGGCAATATCTTCAGTATCTCTTACACATGCAAATAATACGCCTCATTTTTGTTACACAGTAACTCATTTGAAATTTTCCAAATTAAAATGATAAACACATGGTTGTTGTAACAAAGAAAACAATGGAATTTATTCATACCTTTATAAATACACATAATAGACAAGTTGTCCTCTTGGCATGGCTTGGATGAGTACAAGTTTAGACATAATGGTATATTAACTGTGCAGTATAAGTACAAGCTTCACTGCTAGCTCTTCTTTCTAATATTAGAAATAACCATGCAAATGACATATGTGCACCATGATCAGTAAAAAAAAAATCATCTTACTTCTTTTTTAAGAAATTTCATCTTTTATTTTAAATACAGATTGTACAACTGCAGCTTTCTCACATGAGTATACTGCACATAGGTAGTGAGCATAGTACCCAGTAGGTAGTTTTTAAGCCCACACCACCCTCCCTCTCCACTCTAGTAGTCCACGATGTCTGTTGTCCCATGCTTATGTCTATGTGTACTCAGTGTTTAGTTCTCACTTATAAATGAGAACCTGTGGCATTTTGTTTTCTTTTCCTGCATTAATTAACTTATGATTATGGTCTCCAGTTCATCTATATTGCTGCAAAGAACATGAATTCATACTTTTTATGGCTGCATAGTAACCCATGGTGTATATGTACCACATTTTCGTTATGCAGTCCACCATAAATGGGCAACTATATTGATACCATGTCTTTGCTACTGTGAATGAACATACAAGTAGCTATGTCTTTTTGGTATAATAATAATATATTTTCCTTTGGATATATATTAAATAGTGGGATTGCTGGGTTGAATCATAGCTCTGTTTTAAATTCTTTGAGAAATCTCCAAACTGTTTTCCACGGTGGCTGAACTAGTTTACATTCCCACTAACAGTGCATAAGTGTTTTCTTTTCTCTGCAGCCTCACCAGCATCTATTATCATTTACTTTTTTTTTTTTTTCAGCATCTTGCTCTGTCATCCAGGCTGGAGTGCAGGGGCACCATCTCGGCTCACTGAAACCTCCACTTCCCGGGTTCAAGCGATTCTCCTGCCTCAGCCTCCTGAGTAACTGGGGTTACAGGTGTGTGCCACCATGCCCAGCTAAGTTTTGTATTTTTGGTAGACATGGGGTTTCATCGTGTTGGCCAGTCTGGTCTCAAACTCGTGGCCTCAAGTGATCTACATGCCTTGGCCTCCCAAACTGCTAGGATTACAGTTGTGTTCCACCACGCCCAGCCTTGTTATCATTGACTTTTTATTAATAGCCATTCTAACTGATGTGAGATGGTATCTCATTGTAGTTTTTATTTGGATTTCTTTGATGATTAAAGATGATGAGCACTTTTTCATATGATTGTTTGCTGCTTGAATGTCCTTTCAAGAATTGCTTGTTCATGTCTTTTGCCAATGTTATAATGGAGTTGTTTTTACTTGTTAAGTTCCTTGTAGATTCTAAATATTAGACCTATGTTTAGACCTATGTGGGATACATAGTTTGCAAATATTTCTCCCATTTTGTTGGTTGTCTGTTTACTCTATTGATAGTTTCTTTTGCTGTGCAGAAGCCCATTTGCTTAATTAGGTTCCACTTGTCAATTTTTGTTTTTGATGCAATTGCTTTTGGGGATTTAGCCAAAAATTATTTTCCAATGCTGATGTTGAGAAGGATATTTCCTAATTTTCTTCTAGGACTTGTTATAGATTGAGGTCTTCCATTTACATCTTTAATACATTTTGAGTTAATTTTTGTATATAGTAAAAGATATGGGTCCAGCTTTGATCTTCTGCATATGGCTAGCCAATTATCCCAGCACCATTTATTGAATAGAGAGCCTTTTCCCCTTTGCTTATTTTTGTCAGTCTTGTCAAAAATAAGATGGTTGTAGGTGTGCACCTTTATTTCTGAGTTTCTGTTCTATTCCATTGGTCTTTTTGTCTGTTTTTGTACCAGTGTCATGCTGATTTCATTCCTGTCATCTTCTTGTAAAGTTTGAAGTCAGGTAGTGTGATGCTACCAAGTTTGTTTTTTGTTTGTTTGTTTGCTTAGGATTGTTTTGTATATTTGGGATCTTTTTTTGGTCCTATATGAATGTTAGATTATTTTTCTAATTCTGTGAAGAATGATGTTGGTATTTTGATAGAAATTGTGTTGAATCTATAAGTTGCTTTGGCAGGATGGCCATTTTAATGATATTGATTCTTCCAATCCATAAGCATAGAATGTTTTTTTTATTTATTTGCATCATCTCTGATTTATTTCAGCAGTGCTTTGTAGTTCTACTTGTAGAGACATTTCACCTTCTTAGTTAGCTGTCTTCCTAAGTATATCTTTTATTTTTTGTGGCTATTGCAAGTGGAATTGTGTTTTTGCTTTGACTCTCAGCCTGGATGTTATTATTGTATAGAAATGCTACTGACATTTGAACATTGATTTTGTATTCTGAAACATTACTAAAATTGTTTACCTGTTCTAGTAGTCTTTTTGGTGTAGTCTTTAGGGTTTCCTGTCTATAGAATCATATCATCGACAAAGAGAGATAGTTTGATATCTTTTTTTTTTCCTATTTTGGTCCCTTTTATTTATTTTTATTGCCTGATTGCTCTGGCTGGAACTTCCAGTATTATTTTGAATAGGGCTGGTGAGAGTGGGCATACCTCTCATATTCTAATCCTCAAGGGGAATGGTTCCAGCTTTTGCCTGTTTAGTGTGATGTTGGCTGCGGGTTTGGCATGGATAGTTCTTATTATTTTGAGGTATGTTTTTTGATGCCTAGTTTCTTGAGGCTTTTTATCATGAAGGGATGTTGAATTTTATCAAAAGATTTTTATACATATATTGAGATAATCATGTATTTTGCTTTCAATTCTGTTTATGTGGTGAATAACATTTCTTGACTTGTATATGATGAACAACCTTGCATCCCAGAGATAAAGCCTACTTGGTCACAGTGTATTAACTTTTCTATGTGCTGCTAGATAGTTACAAACACCATCAAGAAGTTAGAATAATTTGAAGTTATCAATATAACTTTGCACTTAATGGAACTAGGAAAAAATAGAGGAAACTAACCCCAAAGCTAACAGAAAAAAATTAAAATTAAAGAAGAAATAAAAGAAATTGAGATGCAGAAATTCATAAAAGAGTTCAATGAAATCAAGAGTTGATTATTTGAAAAAAATAAACAGTATTGATAGACCACTAGCTAGATTAACAAAGGGAAAAAAGGGAGGATTCAAATAAGCACAATCAGAAATAGAAAAAGATGACATTACAACAGATCCCAAAGAATACAAAAGATCGTCAAAGAATACAAAAGATCGTCAAAGAATAGTATGAACAACTCTATGGACACAATTTAGAATATCAAAAGGAAAGGGATAAATTCCTGGAAACACATAATTCTCCATGATGGAATCAGGAAGATATTGAAACCCTGAATAGATGAATATCTAGCTCTGAAGTTGAGTGAGTAATAACAAACCTACCAAGAAAAAAAAAATGCTCACAGCCAAATTCTACTAGAATTTGGTTGAATGCACAGCCAAATTCTACCAGATGTACAAAGAACTGGTATCCATCTTACTGAAACTATTCAAAAAATCCAGGAAGAACTCCTCCCTTACTCATTCTATGAAGCCAGCATCTTCTTAACACCAAAAGCTGGCAGAGACACAACAATATCCCTGATGAACTTAGTTGCAAAAATTCTCTACGAAACACTAGCAAACCGAATCCAGCCATTCAGCCCATTTACATTTAGGGTTAATATTGATATGAGAGCTTTTGATACTGTCATCTTGCTGTTAGCTGGTTGTTATGAGGATTTGATTGTGTAGTTGTTTTACAGTGCTTATGGACTATGTGCTTAAGTGTGTTTTTGTGGTAGCAGGTGTCATTCTTTCAGTTCCATGTTTAGCACTCCCTTCAGGACCTCTTGTAAGACTGGTCTACTTGAAGCGAATTCCCTCAGCATTTCCTTTTCTGAGACAGACTTCATTTTCCTTCACTTATGAAGCTTAGTTTGGTGGAATATTAAATTATTCATTTGAATTTCTTTTCTTTAAGAATACTGAAGCCCCCCCGCCCCCAATCTCTGCTGGCATTTAAGTTTCTGATGATAGGTCTGGTGCTATCCTTATGGGCTTCCCTTTGTATGTGACTTGACACTTTTCTCTGGCTACCTTTAAGATTTTTCCTTTTGTATTGACCTCAGTGAATCTGATAACTATGTGTCTTGAGCATGGTCATCTTATATAGTATCTAGGCAGGGTTCTCTGTATTTATTTGATTTACACATGAAAATCTCTAGTGAGATTAGGAAATTTTTTATGGACTACATCATCAAATACAGTTTCCAAGTCTTGTCTCCTTCTGTCTCAGAAAGGCCAGTAAATCATAGATTTGGTCTCTATACATAATCCCATATTTCTCAGAGGTTTTGTTCATTTTTAAAAATTCTCTTTTTTTATTTTTGCCTGTCTGGGTTGATTTGAAGATATGGTTTTCGAGCTCTGAGATTATTTCATCTGCTTGGTCTATTCTGCTGTTAATACTCCTGATTGTATTATAAGATCTTGTAGTGAATTTTTCAGCTTTAGAATTTCTGTTTTGTTCTTTCCTAGAATGGCTATTTTGTCTTTCAGCTGTTAAATTGTTCTGCTAGATTCCTTGCATTGAGTTTTATCCTTCTCCTGAATCTAGACTAGCCTCTTCACCATTAAAATTCTGAATTCTATATCTGTGTTTTCTGTCACTTCAGACTCCTTAAAAAACCAGTGTTGGGGGTGGGGGTGCAAGTGGGCTTTTTTGGAGGTAAGAGAATACTCCGGTTTTTTGGATGGCCAGAGTTCTTGCACTAATTTCTGTCTCATCTAGGAGGGTTGATATTCCTTTAACGGTGGTGTGAGTTAAGTATAGTCAGTTAGCTTCATTTCTGGATGCTTTCAAGGGGCCTGAGCTCTTTACAGGATCTTGATGTGTGGGTGAATTTTTGCACTTCGTTTCACAGGTGTATATGTTAAGAGGATAATTTTTGGTGTTGTATTGTGGGATGTGATTTAGTAGCAGATGATGATTAAGACTAATGGCCAGTAAGTAGCTAGGCAAATACCCAACCTCATGGCTCTTTGATACTCCCTGGCATTCATAGCCATGCTGCCGTTCCCAGGAGCCATTTGAGGGTGGGAACTAGCCCTAACCTTTAAGCACTCTGTGCAGTGTTGCCAAATTCCTCTCTCTTCAACTTTGGCTTCAGCATCAACTCTCCATACGCTCTCTAAACTCGATAATTTCTAAAATTTTTGAGTATAAAATTTACCCACTTTCTTATAACCAGACCAAACAGTTGGTGTTTAAGCATTTAGGTTCCGGAATCAGTTCTTCAGATGGCACAAAAAGCATAGTGCTCGTATCTGCTTGTGGTGAGGACTTTAGAGAGATTATAGTCATGCTGAAAAGTGATGGGGAAGCAGGCGTTTTACATGGTGAGAGCAGGTGCAAGAGCCATTCTTATTTCTAACTTGGCTACAGAATCATTATGTTGCTGTCTGGATACAGATGTCAGATTTCAAAGGATCTTCTTTCTAGGCAATCAGGAATGCAGTTGCAGCTGGCAGTGGCAGGGCCAACTAGAGAGAGACCAAAACCCACCTCTGCGCAAAAAAAAAAATCAGGTTATTTCTTTCAAGTCTGTCAGTTATTGGTTACTGCGCACATTTTATTCAGTTCACACAACAGCAGCAAACCACATAGTCATGCTGCCTTTTTGCATCCAGTAATAAGGTCACATGACATTTTATAAGAAGTTACTCCAAACAGGAAATTAGCCAACAAGGATACAAGCACAGCAATAAAACAAAAAGTGATAACACCAGAAGTAAAATTGGAATTGATGTAAGTAGAGTTAATTGATGAAATAGGAAACCACGGAAATATTGACACTCCCATAGTTTAAGACACTGTGGATATGTTGCTAAATAAATCTAGTGGAACATATAAATGAGAAAGTGCATATGTGGAAAAGGATAAAGATGTTACAGAAGAAGTCATATCAACAGAAAATTTCACATTAGAATCATTCTTGGAGATATCAAATCACATTTAAAGTGCAAAGAATAACATGTTGGAAGTTGATCCAAATTATAAAAGGATACCATAATTCACCAAAGTATATAAAGATATTCACTTCTTATCACAAGTTAAACAATGAGAAGAAAACAAGAGCTCTTCAAACTATTCTTAATCAGTTTTAATAAGGAAATAATTCATAAATGTTTCTAATGTTTTAATTAACATTGTATAAAATAAATGTCAGTTGCACTAATTTTTAATTTTCATATATATTCATAACTACCAATAAGAGTGTTTTTAATGTCTTGGAAAATAATTTTTAAAGACCACGAAACAATTATAATTTTTCTCATTGATTATCAAGATCCCTTTACATGACTTAAGTTTTTACGGTTATTTTTATGGTCCCGCTCTATAGTAATATACAGGACTGCCTACATACACAGATATTACTATGTATGTTTTATTCCTATATGCATAGATAAGCATATATAAATGCATGTAAAAGTAAATTTATTTATTCCCTATCTGAATGACTTACAAGCTTAGATGCTTCTTGTACCCAACTTTTGATAGCCTGTTTTGTATTTTTGCATACATACTTGTTTCTTGTTTTCATATAAATATATGCAAAAATATATTCACATATATTTGTGTTGAGCTCATTTGCTTTTTATTGATTAAACATATTATGGATAAAATATTTATACATACACACACACACGTATAGGATATAGCAGTGAGGCTGTTTTTGCAGTATTTTTTAAATGATAAAAAATTCATATAAGTTAGAAAATATTCTTCTATATAAGAAATAATTAAATTATGATGTAACCATTTGTTTGGAAAGGTAGATATGAAAAAATAATATTTTATATTTATTCCAGTTGCCATAGAATGATTTGTGTTTTCCATGAGATATTGCTGCAGATATTTAAGATATATAGAAGTCTGTATATAATTTCACCTTGTAATATTAACCGTGTCAAAATCATTCTGTATTTGTGTGTGTTTGTTGTGTAGGTAAACATGAAGAAAATTATGAAAAATACAGATGCTTATGATTTTCTGTTGTGATTAAAATGTAACTTAGATTTTATTATGTATTTTATCTATTATGTTATATATAATTACAAATATCTATATATGTTATATATAGATATATAAAATTGTAAATGGTAAGTTTGAAAATGGTTTATTCATGCACCCACTCTCACCATGTGAGATGCCTGATTCCCCATCAGCTTTTACCATGACTGTAAGCTCCCTGTGGTCCTTACCACAAGCATATGCCAGCATCATGCTTCTTCTGCTGTCTGAAGAAATAAGAATGTTTTTATACTGATAATATACATAGCAATCTTGCTAAACTGTCTAATATTATAATTGAATCATAGGATTTTGAAAAATTCTTTTATTCAGTCACATCGTCTCTGAAAACTTGCAGCTTTGCCTTTTTCTTTTCAATGCTTAATATCAGGGTTTTTTTGCTTTTGCTAATCTTAATTTACTTCCTATGGCAATTAAAATATTAAATATTAAATAGAAATGATGGTAATGGTCATGCCTCATTTCTTCACAACATGAAATGAAAACACAAAGCATGTTGTTATTCAAAATTTATACTGACAATGTTGCAGTCAAATGCAGTGAATATATCTGAATTAAGCATAATAATCTTCCAAATTTTCCATGCTTATAATTTTATAAACTTTTTTTTAGAAACAAATGCCAGATAAAATCAAGCACATCCATGTTTTCTTTTTAACTGTGATACCATGACTGTGTACAAAACAAACTATAAAGTTTATAAATTAATCAAAAGGATAATATAAAATAAATAGCAAGGCAGGTAAAAAACAGAAAACATGGTGTTTGCTAGATTAATTCCTTATCTACAATGCTTTACTTTTTAAATTATGAATGAATGTTATATTACAGCAACTACTCCTTTTGCATATATTCAGATCTTAAAATTTTACTTAAAATTTTCATTATATGCTATGAGTATGGTGACTTGTATTGACTGACTTTCTTAGGTTTAAATAATAATGTTCTAGTTATAAACCAATCCTACACATGATGTTTATCTTTTTATATACTTTAGATTTGAATTAATACTATTTTAGTTGTTATTTTATAATTACATTTAATTATTGTCTTGGGATCTTTATTTCTTGCACTGTCCTTACTGGCTTTTTCTCCCTCTAACCTGAATCTACTATCTAGGACCATTAAAATATTAAATAGGAATGATGATAATGGCCAAGCTTCCTTTTAATTACTTCTCTAGAATAGTTTGTAAAAGTTTAGAATTTCGGTAGAACTTGCTAGTGAAGTCATCTGAGCCTAAAATTTTGTTTATGAAAATATTTGTTCAATAATCAAATTTCTTTATTGTTACAGGTGTTTTCAAATCTCTATGATTCCTTCAATTTAAAAAAATATTTTTTTTCTAAAAATGTATATATTTCATTTATATTTTGAATTCATAAACAAAACATTGTTCACAATATACTCCAAAACATTTTAATGTCTTCGGAATCTGAATCAGTCTTCTATTTTATTACACATATTTGTTACTCTTGTTTGTCTTTACTCTTTTTTTTTTCTATCCAACTTGCCAGAGATTTATATATTTTACTAGAATTGTAAAAGGATCAACTTTTGACTATATCAAGTCTTTGTGTTTTTTTAGGAGCTTCTTCTCATACTCATATTGTATACATTCTAATTTATTTTGTTGTATCTTTTCATTCTTTTTCTAACATCTCTGGTGTTACTTAGCCTGTTATCTGTTATCTGAGGTAGATACTTAGCCTGTTAATTTTAAGTATTTTTATAATATATGCATATTAAGCTACATATTTTCTTTTCTGTGCTATTTTAACTGAATTAAAAAGTTTGATAAGCAATATTTAGTTAAAATAATTAGCCCATAGGCTACTTAGAATTATATTCTTAGTTTGTCGAATATATGAAGATCTTCTAGTTGTCTTTTAGATGTTGATTCCTAGTATATTTTCATTGAAGATGAACACATCAAATACAAAGAATCAATGAAATGAAATGTTGGTTCTTTGAAAAGATAAAAAAAATTAATAGACCACTAGTTAGGGTAACCAAGAAGAGAGAAGATACCAATAAACATAATTAGACATGAAAATGGAGACATTACAACTCATACCATAGAAATACCAAAGATCATCAGAAACTACTATGAACAATTATACTAACTAAAGAACCTAGATTAAATTAACAAATTCCTGGAAACATAAAATCTCCTAAGTTTGAACCAGGAAGAAATATCAATTGTTATTTCTAAGTAGTAAGATTGAATCAGTGATAATAATAGTAATAAAAAGAGCCTAGGACCAGATGAATTCACAGCCAAATTCTACAAAACATACAAAGAACTGGTATCAATCATCCTAAAGCTCTTCCAAAAAATCAAGGAGGGAGTACTTCCTAACTCATTCTACGAAGGCAGTATCACCCTGATACCTAAGCCAGACAACGACAAAATTAAAAAAGAACTACAGACCTGCAGACCAATATTCCTGATGAGCAGAGATGCAAAAATGCTCAATAAAATACTAGCCAACTGAATCCAACTGCACATCACCAAGGTAATATGCCATAATCAAGTGGGTCTCATTCCAGGAATGCAAAGATGGTTCAACAAGTGCAAATCAATAAATATGATTCATCACATAAACAAAATTAAAAACAAAAGTCATATAATTATCTTGATACATGCAGAAAAAGCTTTTGAAAAAATCCAGCATACTTTCACACAAAAAACAAAACACCCAACAACTAGGCAAAAAAGGAACATAGATCAAAGTAATAAAAGCCATCTATAACAAACCCATGGTCAACATTTCAATTTTTTTTTTTTTTAGTCATATGTTTGTCTTGTTTTCTTGCACTCCTTCCTAGGCAATGTCTTCACTAATATGCTTGACACCAGGCAATCTCTGATCTGCTCTCTGTCACTATAGTTTTGTCTTTTTCTAGAGTATTAAAAGAATGAAATCATAAAATGTACTTTTTGTGTATGGATGTTTAGATATTTAGAGGAAAGGTTGGTCTGTCACAAATTATTTAATCATAACCAGAAAAAAAGGTCTTCCTTGATAATTTAAAAACTCAATTTTCATAAGGTCTAAATTACATACCATAAAATACACTCACAGCAATTGTATAGTCTCATTGATCATTTTAAACAATCATGTAACCAACTTACTATCCAAATTACAAAAATTTGTGACCAGCATAAAAACGTTCCTCATGTCCCTTTGCAGTAAATCCCCTTCTGTCCCTAGAAACAGCATACCACAGGTCTACTTTTTGTCACCTTGAACCAATATTGAGTGTTCTATAATTTTCTATAAGTCTTATTTCAAGTTACTTTTTGTTTTCAGAATAAGATGAGCATTGTGTTTCATTGTATTCATTTTTGTAACATATGGACATCCATTTGTTCCAACACCACTGCTTAAAGACTTTATTTTCTGTCAGATTCAGTGTTGTTGTCAGTAATCCATTTTGAAGTAACTGCTTTGTTCTATGTGATCTATAAGTCTATATTTATATCAATACCAAGGTGTCTTGAGTATACGTTTTTCCCTAATTTTGAAAGACGAGCTTTTGATAATTTCTTATAATGATAGCTGCAGATTTTCGTAGATGCCTTTTATTGGACTGAGTGTGTTCCCTTTTATTGGGTTGAGTGTGTTCCCTTTTATTGAGTGATGTGAATATTTAACAACCAGTTGTCTGGGAATAGAGATGAGATACTGGTTTGTGGCATTTATGAGTTTCACGGTGTAAATATTCCCAATGAACGCTATACAAAGCTTTCATTGTTACATTAATTGAAATATCTAACAATTTAACAATCAACTGTCTTGGGCTAGTTCTAGCACATCACTGCTTCTGTTTTTAGATTGCTAAGAGCTTTCTATCACTCCTGCTAAACGTGGCTATATTTAGAAATGGTTTGTCTTTTCATAAGTTGGCCTCTTTTTATTATATAGTATCCCTTGTGAAAGGAAAATCAATATTGGGACACCAAAATCCGTAAGCTAAAGGGAAAAGTCAAACTGAGAACTGCTTAGGGCAAACCTGCTTCCCATTCTATTCAAAGTCATCTCTCTGCTCACTGAGACAGCAGCATATCTGATTGCCTCCTTTGGAAAGGCTAATCAGAAACTCAAAAGAATACAACTGTTTGTTTTTTATGTACCAATGACCTGATAGTCCCCTCCCAGCCTCCAGCTGTCCCGCCTTTGCTTGAGTTGTCCTGCCTTTCCGGACCAAACCAACGTTTATCTTACATATATTGATTGATTGATGTCTCATGTCTCCCTAAAATGTGTAAAACCAAGCTGTGACCCAACTACCTTGGGCATATGTCATCAGAACTTCCTGAGGCTGCCATGGGCATGCGTCCTTAACTTTGGCAACATAAACTTCCTAAATTGACTCAAACCTATCTCAGATGTTTGTGGTTCACATTCTCTTTATCCTTTAAGATAATCACTTTGTTTTGTGGTTGATTACGTGTCAATTTTCAGTAGCTCATTTTGGTCTTCTGCTGATGCATCTTGCTATCTACTCAAATATACAAAATTGTTGTAAAGGTCAAAGAAATTGGGAATATTATCATATAATCTATAGCACATTATCCAGAAAAATTAATATAACTTACATTTATTTATTTACTTATACATGCCTTTAATAATGGAAATGTTATGGCTATAAATGTTCCTCTGAGGATAGCTTTTACTATGCCCAACAGAATTAGTTCTCCTTTTTCATTACTTTTCCAGTAGTATAAAGTTTTGGGTTTTGATTTACACTTTGACCAAAAGATTAAACAGGAATAACATTACAATCAGAGACTGCTGTCTGTATGTATATCTTTATTAAATATGTTTATATTTTTCTTAGATATACTTTTAACATTTTAAATAAATTTTCCATGAGCCTGATAAAGACTGTTTACTCTCTCATACAGGGAGTTGACATGTTCTAGCATAAGTATTTTTTAGTTAAGAATTCTTTGTATTTCTGACAAATTTTGCTTAATATTTACTGAACATGTTGTTTGGTGTATTCAGTTTTAAAAGTTCTAGAGCATTTTCCTGTACCTCTGACAAAAACAGATGTACCTATTATACCTTCAACATCTATATAATTTTCAAGAAACAAGCTTGTTTTACAAATATTTATCAAACAACAACTATATCTTAATCTTGAATACAATGTGGAGGGTATTTTCCCTTGATAGTGTTCTTCAATTCTTTCTGGGGGGAGAAGCAGTAATTGCTAGACAAGTCATGAATTTGGCACATAATTGCTCTAAACTATTGTGTTTTAACAGAGTGAATAGACAACCTACAGAATGGGAGAAAATACTTGCAAGCTATGTATCCAACAAAGGACTAATATCGAGAATTTACAAGGAACTCAAACAAAACTCAACAAGAGTAAAACAACCCCAATAAAAAGTGAGTAAAAGACATGGAGAGAGATTTTTCGAAAGAAGACATACAAATGGCAATCAAAAGGCAAAGAGGCATATGAAAAAATGTTCACCATCACTAATCACCAGAGAAATGCAAATTAAGTGTAATGAGATACAACCTTACATCTGACAAAGTGGTTATTACTCAAAAAAAAAAAACAAAAAAAACAAAACAAAAAAAACAGATATTGGCAAGAATGCAGAAAAATGGGAAAACTTTTACACTGTTGGTGGTAATGTAAATTAGTATAAACCTTATGAAAAACAGTATGGAGATTTCTCAAAGAATTTAAAGTAGAACCAGCATTTGATCCAACAATCCTACCACTGGATATCTATCCAAAGGGAAAGAAATTATTATATCAAAAAGATATTTGCATTTGTATATTTATCACAGCACTATTCACAGTAACAAACATATGGAATCAACCTAAGTGTCCACCAACAGATGATTGGATAAAGAAAATATTATATATAATATATATTTTTTATTATCTATATAATATATATACATATTTTATTTTATATATATACACACACATATATATAAAATACTAGTCAGCCATAAAAATAATAATATCATGTCTTTTGCAGAAACATGGATGGAACTGGAAGCTATTATCTTAAGTGATATAACTCAAAAACAAAGTCAAATGTTACATTATATCACTTATAAGGGGGAGCTAAATAATGTGTATACATTATGTGGAATTATGAACATTGGAGACCTCAAAAGGTAGAAGAGTGGGAGAGGAGTGAAGGATGAGAAATTACCTAATAGGTACAATGTACACTATTTAGGTGTTAAACTACAAGCCCAGACTTCACTAGTACCCAGTATATCCATATAACAAAATTGTGCTTATATTTCCTAAATCTGTAAAAATATAAAAATGAAGCATTATTGTTGTTTTAAGGTAGAGAAAAGCATATAAATACATTATCATCTTTTCGTTAAAATGTTACCAGGAACTGCTGGATATAAAATATGCCTGATTCACATTTTTATTTATCTTACCAGTGTTTTCTAATATTTAATTTTTTTCTAATTCTTCCTTTAGAATAATTTTCTTAATTTTTTCTCTATTTTCTATACTTAGATTTTACTGTCTATATCCATAGGAGATATTTTAAATCTAAGACTCTCTATGCCAAATATTAGATTAGTCATTGTATTAGTCGGGGTTCTTTTAGACAGAATTAATAGGATATATATATGTGTATATATATATGTGTGTGTGTATATATATATGTATATATATATATGTGTGTGTGTGTATATATGTATAAAGGGGAGTTTATTAAGTATTAACTTACATGATCACAAGGTCCCACAATAGGCTGTCTGCAAGCTGAGGAGCAAGGAGAGCCAGTCTGAGTCCCAAAACTGAAGAACTTGGTGTCCTATGTTCGAGGGCAGGAAGGCCTGTCTCTCCTTTTCACATTTTTCTGCCTGATTTATATTCACTGGAAACTGATTATATTGTACCCACCTGATTAAGGGTGGATCTGCCTTCCCCAGCACACTGACTCAAATATTAATCTCTTTTGGCAACACCCACACAGACACACCTATGATCAATACTTTGTATCCCTGAATCCAATCAAGTTGACACTCAGTATTAACCATCACAGTCATCTTAAACAGTTTGTGAAAAAAATGTAGAACCTTTCATTCCTTGTTTGTTCCTTAATGGGTCTACTTCTCAATGGCCTTGTTCCCATGTTAGTAAGATTTTAAGACAAAGACATTTCATTGATATCTATCTATCTATCTATCTATCTATCTATCTATCTATCTGGCAAGCTAGCTAGCTTTATCTACCATCTATGTCCAACTTTTTTTTTTCAGATGAGAAACATTTGGTTATCTTTTCTTGGCAATTGCTAACTTGCTCATATTTCAAAATCAGTTTGAAATATAGAAGAGAAAGAACTATTTATCCTAATATATTTGATGCTCTGCAGTCAGCAGCACAGTTAAAAAGTCCATTTCAGAAAATATTAGGACAATTATATTCCACGTCGTTTCTTTCTTTGTAAACATTTAAGTTATATTGTCAAGCAAGTTCTCCCTGGTGGTCAGAGAAAATGCTCTTCTTGATGGAGAGAAGGCGTGTAAAAATAATCTAATCTGCCACTTTTATAAAATTTTTATTCACTACATTTCATTAAGTTTGCTTTTATAACTTTCACTAAGAGTTTTACAATGCATTTGGTATTGCCAAGTGCTTGATAATTCCCCAGCACGTATGGAAGTACAAAATAACACTTCCAACCTTTAAGATCAAACACTTTGGTAAATACCACAGATGCCAAATTGCTCTAGCAGGTGCTAAATTGCTATTGTTGTATCACCTTGGGATATGATGAAGATGAATGGAACGCTGTGCATTTTCCCAGTATTCCACAATTACTGGAACACCTGTGCTAAACAATGTGGTGCTAATGCACCATAAACATGCTCACAATACTCTGAGGACCTTGTAGTTTTACATTTCAACTTGCTTAGCAGGGCCTTAACTTAATGCAGGTGTTGGAAGTGTTTCACCTATCCTTGACACTGCTACTACATAGTGACATATTAGTACCATGCCAGTAAAAGTTGACTTTCTTCACTCTGTGTTTTGTTTTATTTCTTTCTTCCCTTCCTTTATTCACTCTAATATTTCCTTCCACCTGTTCTTATCTCATTGTGTATTGCTATGGGAATACGTAATGTCTTCCTTTGTTTCCCGTGAATTGTCTTCACCCCCTTGCTTTAATATCAAAGATCTATATCATTGTTAGCAATATAAGATGTTGTTATCACTGCTGCTCCAGCACCTTTGTTTTTAAGCAAATCGCTTTTGGCATATGGAAATGCCTGCAAACATATTTGTGATAGTTGTCAACCTGGCAACTGTTTGCAGATGTGTATATTTTAAAAAATTTAACCATTAAAAAACAAATAGCAGACTGGGCATGGTGGCTCATGCCTGTAATCCCAGCACTTTGGGAAGCCAAGGTGCGTGATTCGCCTGAGGTCTGGAGTTCGAGACCAGCCTGGCCAACATGGACAAACCCCGTCTCTACTAAAAATACAAAAATTAGCCTAGTGAGGTGGTACACACCTGTATTCCCAGCTACTTGGGAGGCTGAGTTAGGAGAATTGCTTGAACCCAGGAGAGGAAGGTTGCAGTGAGCCGAGATCACCACTGCATTCCACCGTGGGTGATAGAGTGAGACTCTGTCTCAAAAAAAAAAAAAAAAAAAAAAAAAGAGAGAGAGAGAAAGAAAAAAGGTATGTGTGTGTGTGTTTGTGGTGTGTGTGTGTATATGTGTGTGTCAATGTGTTTATGGTAACACCCCCTTGGTCATTGTGAATTAAGCTTCTACTGTTTCTGTTACAAATTTTAAGAGTTCTTGAGATATGGCCGGGTGCGGAGATACAATTCCCATACCATCCACACAGTTCAACATTTTAAAGCATTTAATACAATGATTTAGTATTTTCCAAGGATTGTGTGAACATTACCACAATGTAATTTTCAAAGACTTTTGTCCCCTGGTAAGAAAATTCCTATATCCACTTACAGTCACTCTCCATTACCCAAAGCCTGCCCTCCTCGTTTTTAGGAATACCCTATTATGTGTCTCTATAGGTTTGTCTGTTTTCTATGACCATGTTTTAAGTTAAACCCTTTATTTTTCAGTAATTTTACTTTTATGTAACTAAATGGAGATTTGTTTTTTCATTTTTTTTCTCCCCATGTGGTTCATAGAACTTTTGTAGTTGTGGCTTCATATTTTTTTTGTCATTTTTGCAGAAGCTATTTTCAGTTATTGCATCTGCCCTTTTTTCTCTGTCTCTCTTTTAGGCTATATTCGTCTTCCACAAGTGTGTGTATACCTTTCTATAGTCTATCTTATAGGCTGAGGTCCCGACAGTAGATTTCTACAAATCTGATAACTATATTTTAAATTGCATCATTTCAGGGTTGTGATATGTCTTCTTACCAATGTTCAATCTCTATCAGGCTTCGGAGTGATATTGGAAAAAGAAAGGAATATTCTGAGGGGCTGTTTTATATATGCCAGAATCCAAACTATTTTTTTGGATTTAGCTTAAATAACATTCACAGTTTGCAAGTTTCTCTGAAATAAACATGAAAGGATCTCTAAGAATCAAAGGCGTTTCAAGCTTGCACCTCCACAACTATATATGGTGTTTGTTTATTTATTTTGTTTCTCCTATCCTGATTGGAAAACACAATGTCCTTGTTACTTTTCATAAAAAGTAAACATGTAAGAGGCATGAACTATTTTATCACAATAGCTTCCAATGCTGTTGAAATATTGAAATCTGAAATATCTTTAGAATCAAGTTCCAAAATCACCATCCAGGCTTGTCCAGGGAGTGGTGACTCCTCAAAAATGATAATACAGAGATATGTAAGATAAAGAAAGATTTAATCATCCATGAATCTTAAGTGTTCATCAAACTCCAAGAATTTTAAACTTTCCAAATATCCTCCTGAACCATAGGTGTGCAAAAAACAGACAGTGATCTATGGAATGGTGGAGAATCAATCTTTTTTATATTATTTGAAGACACCTTACTTTTCAACTAAAATACCTGCCTGAAACTTGCATTGTGAACTCACTGTTAGGAATGAATGATGCTTAAATAAGAAGTTTATTATTAGGCTGGTGCAAAAATAATAGCTGGTTTTGCCTAAAAAATTGGGAAAAACTGCAATTATTTGTGCAGCAATTTAATAGTAAAAGAAATTTTTTTCTGCATATATTCATGAAAACATAAAATGATACGAAATGTTTATGAGAGTTTAATGGATTTTTGTTTGAAGGCACTTATTGATGTTTTCTTGAAGGCAAAGACTATTATTTTAAGAAAATGAGTGGCCGGGAGCAGTGGCTCACCCCTGTAATCCCAGCACTTTGGGAGACCGAGGTGGGCGGATCATGAGGTGGAGATCGAGACCATCCTGGCTAACACGGAGAAACCCCGTCTCTACTAAAAATACAGAAAATTAGCCGGGCATGGTGGCGGGCGCCTGTAGAGACAGCTACTCGGGAGGCTGAGGCAGGAGAATGGCATGAACCCAGGAGGCGGAGCTTGCAGTGAGCAGAGATCGTGCCACTGCACTCCAGCCAGGGCAACAGAGCAAGACTCCATCTCAAAAAAAAAAAAAAAAAAGAAAATGAGTAATAAGGTCAATGCCATCTCAAGCTTAAAACACTAGATAAATAAGGCAACCTACAGCCATTTCAATCACCTCCTCATTTACTCACTAAATTTTTATATCAAGGCCTATGCCTCACATTTTAACAGCTAATTTATTATACCAAATTACTGCCTTTCGAGTCTGCCTTAAGAAATAAGATAACAAGCCAGTTCGTATAAAGATCTTTGAGCCAAAAAGCAAATGACTGAGCTGAGTTGTCAGAGAAGAACTGACAGGACTATCCTGTGTTTTATATCACAGTGCTTATTTTTTTTTTTAATTTGAGAAAACATCAGTTTCCTGAATAAGTTTTAATGGCTTAATTATATTAAAGTATGACATGAGTCAAAATAACCACCTCGGAAAGTTAAACATATTCAACTAAAAAGGTAATGAAGTGAAAAGAAGTGGAAGATGCAATTCTAGTCTGGGAAGTATGCCCAAGTTTTCAATAAATGAATAATAAAAATGTTTGCATAGTAATAATCAATCCTTCCAATAATGAGTTTGCTGTCAGTATACAATCATGTTGAGTAATTAAATTCCAATGAATTCAGTTGCTAAGTCAGGCATATGTTTTGAGTTATCAGCATGGCCAGGGACCTTTCCCGGGTGCCTGCCTTGAGCCACTTGCCTGGGTCAGGTTAGAAGAATTTCTACAATAATAGCTACAATTTCCTTCTGTACAGGCATTGTTCATTAGATCAAGTTATTAACCAGTTACTGCTATGAGAAGGCAGAGAGGAATAAGCCAGACAGACTTAATCTGTTAGCCTGGCCATAGCCTTGCTGCCAGCTCACAGATCCCTGTCCAAGTTTGGGTCCTAGTCCTATACCATGCCTCAGAATGGTGTAAATACTTCCCTCTTAGCATCTTTCCATTCCCTCTAGTGTTCTGCTTCTCCTTCCTTCTTTTTTACTCTCTCTTGTTTTTCTCCCACTCTTTATCATGCACACACAGACATGAATTCACACATGACATTTGTCTTGTAATTTAGTACATATTCTTAGATGCTCACTCTAGAAAGTCAATGGAATTATCTAATGAGAATATATTCCTGGACAAAATGGACCCTACTCAAAGAGAAATGCTGACAGATGCTATCAAGAGATAATACATACCTTTATATGTGATATGGTTTGGCCATGTCCCCACCCAAATCTCATCTTGAATTGTTGCTCCCATAATCCCCACATGTTGTGGGAGGGACCTGGTGGGTGGTAATTGAATCATGAGGGCAGGCTTTTCTCATGCTCTTCTTGTGATAGTGAATAAGTCTCACAAGATCTGATGGTTTTATAAAGGGGAGTTCCCCTGCACAAGCTCTCTTGCCCCTTGCCATGTAAGAAGTGACTTTGCTCTTCCTTCATCTTCCACCATGATTGTGAGGCTTACTCAGGCATGTGGAACTGTGAGCCCACTAAACCTCTTTCCTTTAGAAATCACTGAGTCTTGGGTGTGTCTTTATTAGCAGCATGAGAATGAACTAATATAGTAAATTTGTACCGTGTAGTGGAGCACTGCTGTAAAGACACCCGAAAATGTGGGAGCAACTTTGGAACCTGGTAACAGGCAGAGGTTGGAACAGTTTAGAGGGCTCAGAAGAAGACAGGAAAATGTGGGAAACTTTGGAACTTCCTAGAGACTTGGAGGACACAGAAAACAGGAAGATGTGGGAAAGTTTGGAACTTCCTAGAGACTTATTGAACGGCTTTGACCAAAATGCTGATAGTGATATGAACAATAAAATTCAGGCTGAGGTGGTCTCAGATGGAGATGAGGAGTTTTTCGGGAACTGGAGTAAATATCACTCTTGCTATACAAAGAGACTGGCATCATTTTGGCCCTGCCCTAGAGATCTATGGAACTCTGAACTTGAGAGAGGTAGGGTATTGGCGGAAGAAATTTCTAAGTGGAAAATAATTCAAGAGGAAGCAGAGGGTAAAAGTTTGGAAAATTTGCAGCCTAAAAATGCAATAGAAAAGAAAAACCCATTTTCTAGGGAGAAATGCAAGCCAACTGCAGAAATTTGCATAAGTAACAAGGAGCCAAATGTAATCACCAAGAAAATGGGGAACATGTCTCCAGGATACGTCAGAAATTTTCACAGCAGCCCCTCCCTTCATGAGTCTGGACACCTAAGAGGTAAAAATGGTTTCTTGGGCCAGGTCCAGAGCCCCCTTGCTGTGTGCAGCCTAGGGACTTGGTGCCCTGCATCTCAGCCACTCCAGTCATGGCTAAAAGGGGCCAAGGTACAGCTTGAGCCATGGATTTAAAGGGTGCAAGCCCCTAGTCTTGGCAGCTTCCATGTGGTGTTGAACCTGTGGGTGCACAGAAGTCAAGAATTGAGGTTTGGGGACCTCCACCTAGATTTCAGAGGGTGTATGGAAATGCCTGGATGTCCAGGCAGAAGTCTGCTGCAGAAGCAGAGTTCTCATGGAGAACCTCTGCCAGGGCAGTGCAGAAGAAAAATGTGGTTGGGTCAGAGTCCCCACACAGAGTTCCAACTGGAGCACTGCCTAGTGGAGCTGTAAGAAGATGACCACCATTGAAAGCAGACAGGTGAGGTGCTGTACCCTGCAAACCACAGGGGTGGAGCTGCCCAAGACCGTGGGAGCCCACCTCTTGCATCAGCACACAATGGATGTGAGATGTGGAGTCAAAGGAGATCATTTTGGAGCTTTAAGATTTGACTGCCCCACTGGTTTCCAGACTTGCATGGGGCCTGTAGCCCCTTTGTTTTGGCCAATTTCTCCCATTCGGAATGGCTGTATTTACCCAATGCCTGAATCCCCATTGTGTCTAGGAAGTAACTAACTTGCTTTTGATTTTACAGGCTCATAAGTGGAAAGGATTTGTCTTGTCACAGATGAGACTTTGGACTCTAGACTTTTGGGTTAATGCTGAAATGAATTGAGACTTTGAGGGACTATTGGGAAGGCATGATTGGTTTTGAAATGTGAGGATATTAGATTTTTGAGGGGCCAGGTGCAGGATAATATGGTTTGGCTGTGTCCCCACCCAAATCTCATCTTGAATTGTAGCTCCCATAATTCCCATGGGTCATGGGAGGGGGGCCCAGTGGGAGGTAATTGAATCATGGGGGGTAGGTTTTTCCCATGCTATTCTCGGGATAGTGAATAAGCCTTATGAGAGCTGATGGTTTTATAAAGGGGAGATCCCCTGCACATGCTCTCTTACCCGCCGCCATGTAAGAAGTCCCTTTGCTCTTCCTTCATCTTCCACCATGATTGTGAGGGTTTCCCCAGCCATATGGAACTGTGAGTCCATTAAACCTCTTTTATTTATAAATTACCCAGTCTTGGGTACGTCTTCATTAGTAGCATGAGAACAAACAAATACGATATGACTTTACTGTAAACATGTAAAATTATAATAAATAGCATAGTCTTATGTGTTAGTCACTGTCCTGCAACTTACCAGATGGATGATCTAACAGAAGATATTTAAACGACCCTCAGTTACATTACAGGCATTATTGGGAAAATCATACCATGAATCTTGTATAATTACTTTGAGAAGTAAGAGTGATAATGTCATAGAGGGCCTAGTACAGTGCTTGAAACAAAACTCAGGTATCTAATAATTTATGTAACCATACTCACATTGTATGTATAATATAAACATGAAAGTTGTTCATTAAAAATATAGTCAAATTTTATTTGGTGTTCTTTTTTAGCATTGGGTAGTTGGGGATATTTTCTAAATTGAAATCATCATTAAAAATATTATAACAGTCAATTTCTCTACACTGACCCAGGCAACCATTAAATTACTTTTTCCTGATACTTGATTATGTTTTGACTATTTGGGAATTTCCAATGAATGGGTTTATACTGTATCTGTTCATTGGCAACTGGCTTGTTTTGTTCATCATATGGCAAGGGATGGAGAGAAACATTTTTAGGCTGACGGAAATATTGTATACATTAATTTTGTGGTGATAAAATAGGTGTATACATTTGTCCAAAAGTCATTAAATGCATAATTAAAATGGGTCTATTTTATTATATGTAAATTATATCTTCATAAAGATGATTTTAAAAAATAACCCGGCACAGAAAACTCAAGGCCAAAATGCATTTTGTGATAAAATTCTTTAAAATTTCAGAAAGAAATACTGTAAAGACTTCCCCTTCTCTCAAAAAAAAGAAAAAAAAAGGAAAACGCACACACACAGACAGGGAAATAAAACCTCTCCAAGTTATTCTATGAAGTCAGCGTGATCTAGAAACCTAACCCTCACAAAAAAAATTTACAAGCAAATTGCACTAATAAACATAGATGCAAAAGTTCTAAAAAATAACAGTAAATTAATTCAGCCAACAATTTTATTATATGAAGATCATATGTGTACATGTGTACATACATACATATAATTATTATGACAGAAGGATTTTATTACAGAAATGCAAGTATGTTCTATAATAGATGTTTTAATACTGTAACTCAACATTTTAGAGAAAAAAAATATCATATGACCACATGAAGAGACAGAGAAAGCATTTGATAAAGTTCAATACATTCATTTTAAGCCCTTAGCCAATTAGAATGATAAAAGATCAACTTTAACATGATAAACATTATCTACAAAGAATTTACAGCAAACACTGGACTTAATGCTGAATTACTGAAACCTTCTCATTAATATATGAAAGGAGAAAATTAGGCCTAAAAATAATAATTCTCTTGTTTGACATCATACTGAAGATTGTAGACAGAATGATGTTAGGGAAAAATAATGTAGATCATTAGAAATAAAGATATAAAACAATGTATTTGCCCCCCAAATTCAAAGCAATTATGGACTGTTAATTTGAATTAAATGTATGTTCGCTGTATACAAACTCAAAATAGAAAAAATATTATATCCCCACATATAAGCAATATGCAGAATATAAACATTATTAAAACAATAACATTCCAGTAACCTCAAAAACAACATATCCTTGGGCTAAATTTGATAAAAGTTGCTCAAAATCTCTATATTAAAAATTTATTTAAGATAAATTTAGTATACATATGTAACTAACCTGCACGTTGTGCACAGTAACCTAAAACTTAAAGTATAATTAAAAAAAAGATAGATTTAAAATTACCTAGATTATTTTCAGTATTTAGTATATACATTTTGGACACATTTTGTTTTATATATATATATACCTAATTATCGTAATGTTTGATACAATTTTAAATTTTAGATTTAAATTTCAAATGGCTTATTGGTAGAATTTAAAAATAGAATCTATTTTTTATATTAAATACTCATCTTAGAATAATTTAATATGACGGGATACAGACATTCAAATAATCTTTAATACATATAACAAATTTAAGAAATTAATTGGTAATTTTTATGGATACATAATATTTGTACGTATGTATAGGGCATATGTGATATTTTGATGTAAGCATACAATGTGTAATGACCAAATTAGAGTAATTGGGATATCTGTCACCTTAAACATTTATCATTTCTTTGTGTTAGAAACATTACAGTTTCACTCTTGAAGTTATTTAGAAATATACAAAAATTATAATTAATTATAGTCACCCTCTTGTGCTACTGAACACTAGACTTACTTCTTCTACCTACCTGTATTTTGTACCCATTAACCAACCCTTTAAAACAAAGTCAGATACAGTAGCATACCTGTAGTTCTGGCTACTCAGGAGACTAAGGTGGAAGGATTGCTTGAGCTCAGGAGCTCAAGTCCAGCCTAGGCAACATAGAGAGACACTATTAAAAAAAAAAAAAAGTAAGAAACAAATGAAAGAGGAAACAACAACAACAAAAATCAACAAATATTTTCTGAGAAACTACAGTGTCTCATGTTTCATCCATTCTAAGTCCTTGGAATACACAATTTATAACAAAATGAAAAAACCAAAAATCCTGCCTTTGTAGTGTAGGCATCCTGGTAAGTGAGATCAATAATACCTAAAATACATAATAATATGTAAAATATGATGTAAAGTTACCTGACATCACAATAATTATACCTAATCCTCAAATCTCAGGCAACACTAAACCTTTGCTTCTGATGTGTCTATGAGTCTAAACGGGGGTTCTGATGCTCTCACCTGAATTCGTTTATGTGCATGAGTTAGCTGAGGGACAACTGATTTGCATTATGCTCAGCTGGGATTGGCTTCAATCTGCAAGTCGCATCCAGATCCATTCCTCATGTCTCCCACGGTCCTGAAACCAACAAGCTCTCAGGTACATATTCTTGGGATGGAGATTGCACAGCAGCTAAAGACAAGCTCCACTGTGCAAAAAATTTAAAACTTCTGCTTAATTCCATCTGTTAACATCATCTATTGGCCGAAGCATATCACATGGTCCCAAATACATGCTTATTCTGAAATAATTCTCATATTACCACACACAAAGTCAAGGGCAGAAAAGCATATACTCACATGGAGGCAGGGGGATTTAAAAACATTTAAAGGATAATGTAACCCAGCACAGTTTATACGTGCTTGCAAAAAATAATACATAGGATGAAGGGGATTGGAAATGTGAAGCATGGGAAAGGAGTGGGTTATCACTTTAAGCAGTGTAGTCACTGAAGGAATTAGGAGAAGGATGACATTTGAGGGAAGACTTGAAGCAGTAAATGAGCTATGTAGCTTGTTGGGAAAAAGTATCCCGAGGTAGGAAGTCCAAAGTGGTTTGAGCTTGATAAGTATACGGAAAGAAGTATAAGATGAAGTCAAAAAGGTAAGGGAGATTACTCAATCTTATGGATATTATAGAATGTTATAACTTTGCTTTTTATTGGGGTGAAACTGTAGTGCTTTGATCAGAGAAGTACAATGTCAGGCTTAAAAAGATTATGGACAACTGTGTTAAGGATGGACTTTTGGACACTATTCATCATGGATCTTGTACAAAATAAATGGAATATTTAAACAGGGTGATTTGGACTTTCTTACTAAACATAAAATTTCATAAATTTCAGCTCTCTAATGCTCTGTTCTTTGCTTTGGGTGATTCCTCACTTCTGGTCATCAGTTCATTAATTGCCCCTGTGATCTCATTTACTTTATTGAATCTGCTGTGATTCTGGGTGCTGCTGGATTGGAATCGTTCAGTGCGCAATTAAACGCCTTTAAATTTAACTCAGCTGAAGTTTGTCTTTTATCAGTAGTTACATCGTAGGGGAGTCAAAAGTTACACGTGGATTTTCAACTACAAGGGTCAGTCACCCTAACCCCTGCATTGTTCAAGGGTTAACTGTAGATCTTTTTATATCCCACAGTTCATGGTACTTCTTTTAATTACTTTATGAGTGTTACTCCTTTGTTCATCTTTGATAATTTTAAGTGTACGTATTTAAACCTTTGGAACATGGTTCTGTTGTTTTAAATTCTTATGCACAAATCTGTGGGTGATTTGGCTTTAGTGCTTGTTGGTCCTCTCATGACATTTACACTGATATTTCGTAACTTTTACTGTGCTCAGCTTTCTTGAAAATTTATTTTTCCTTCTCTTTTCATCCCTGTATTAGGCTGCTCAGTATATACAACAGAACTGATATTGTATTAATATCTTGGAGTTTCAGGCTCCTGGATAGATAATACACGTGGTTCCTGAGATTGGGGAAAGCGTAAAGCAGATTCTGAGCAAATTGACTATCCTCACTACTTCCGTCTTTAGGTTTTATGTACCTTGCATCTGGCTGCACACTGGATAGGCTGAATAGGTTGGTGGGCGCCTTTGTAATGACACTACCAGCTTGTTGCTTCCTGGTAACAGGAAGAAAAAAAAAAGCCATGCAGATTTCCTACTACTTGTAGGATATGCTAGGCCTTGTTTTCTTAGGCATCCGAAGTCCTGATTTCCATTGCCTGCTCCTGATTTGGCATCCTGATTTAGGCTTCCAGGTCTTCAGCCCACATGCTTTGATTTGATTTTCTCTTCCATTCCTGGCCTTCGACATTATTATTTTAATCATGGTTATGCATTTTATAGTAAAAATATGAAATATACTTTTTGTGAGGAAAGCTTCATATTTCTTTACTCAATTAAACTACAGTCAAAATTTTAGAGCCCTCACACCAGGAAGCTCTCCCTCTTGCAGAATATGGTAGCGTACACATCTTTCTGAGATTTACTTGAGGGCAACAATGATGCTTTATAAAATAATAACAGGAACTCTAACATAAAAATTATGCACAAATAAATAAAAGAAAAGCATTTAAAATATATCTTTAAAGCTCCCTTCTTTTGTTACTTTAATGATAAAATGAAATCTCTGTCATATAGATTTTTAAAATTATCATATTGAATAAAAAGAGCTGCGTTGGCTACAACTACCTGGATCCTTTTAGAGGAGAAAAAAAAAAGGCCCTTAGATATCTTGCACTTACACATCTGTATTAGTATCCCACAGAGTGCTTTTGAAAATTCTTTGTTGTATTTGTCTGCAGTGAAAATCAATGCAAATTTATCATAACTTTTATTCTTTAAAAAGATATGAAATTCAAGGGTATAACCACTTATATATTACATTCCCCTTCTGAAACAATTAGCATAGATAATGGTTTTTTCAAATTTTTTCTAAGTGATACATTCTAATGTACCTGTGGCAAAAATATATTCACTGATTTAAAACACATGCATCTGAAATCTTTGAATATGTAAAACAGTGTATTTTTACAATTTTACATAAATGTATTCAGTTAAGTGTTAGGCTAAATATAACCTTCCTTGGACAAGGTTAATATTGTAGTTTAATTATAATGTGTAGGAGGAAATTTGATGTGCTTGTTACAATTTTTAAAAAAGATTTTTTACCATTATTATCCAATTATTCCAAATATTCTCATTACTACAAAATAAACTTTTATAATTAAATTATGAATTATTAATTATGAATTGTGTGAATTATAAAATAAAATATGAACAAAGTTTTTGTAATTAATATTCTGTTTTTACTTAAAAAAATTGCAGCTTTTTTCCCCCAACTAATGTTTTCAGGAACCCATCTACTAAATCTGATGAGATAACCAGGTAAATTGTTTTAAAAACTTGTCAATACTTGAATTCTCCCAAATACTGTACACACACACACACGCGCACACACACACACACACACACACACTCTTTTTTGGTTAATCTAATAAGTTCTGTGAATTTTATTATATTGTCCTTTGATTTTTCTTGGTAGAAGCTTCTTTCTCCAATTAGAAGAGCTAAAAGTTAATTTCTTTATTTTTCCACTTCCAGGGAGGTGTACTAACTATACTTTTCCCTATTCCTCCTGTAAAGTATACTTAAATTCCTGGATATTTGTGTGAAGAAAACCAGGAAAGTTATTCAACTAATATTTTTAATGACAATTTTATTGAGATAATTGTAGATTCATATACGATTATAAGAATACCACAGAAAGACACCATGTACCCTTTTTGAGTTTTTGCAAAACTGTAGTACAACTAGGATATTGACATTGATAATGTCATCTGATCTTATTCAGATTTTCCCAGTTTCAGTTGTCATTGTGTGTGTGTATTCTATACGGTTGTATCACATGTATGTGTTCCTGTATCCACCACGATGTTATAATTGGCCTTCTTCACACAGCATAATTCCCCGTAGTCATCCAAGTTGTTATACATATCAATAGCTCATTTCTTTTTATTTCTTTGTAGTATTCCATAGTGCATATGCATTACAGTTTGTTTAACCTTTCACCTACTGAGGGACAAGTGGGTTTTCCAGTTTCGGGTTATTATGAATAAAGCTGCTATGAAAACTTGTAAACAAGTTTCACCCCTCTGGGGAAAATGTCAAAGAATACAATTGCTGAGTCTTATGGTAGTTTCATATTTATTTATATGAGAAACTGCCCAACTGTTTTCCAGAATGTCTGTACAAATTTACATTCCCATCAGCAATCTATGAGTGATACTGTTTCTCTGCATTCTTGCCAGTATGTGGTATTGTCCCTTTTAAAATTATTTTTGTCATTCTCATGAGTGTGTAGCGACATTTTGTTGTAATTTTCATTTGCATTTCCCTGATGACATTTATATTTTTATGTAAGTCTATGATCCATTTGGAGTTAAATTTTATATATGTTGTAAGGTTTCCATTCGGATTCTGGTTGTTTTTTGTTTTTGTTTGTTTGTTTGTTTGCCTATACAAGTCCAATTGCCCCAGCACCACTTGTTGAATAGGCTATATTCTCTCCATTGAATTGGTTTTGTATCTTTGTCAAAAAGCACTTAATATAACATATTTGAGTAAGTCTATTTCTCGCTTCTTTATTCCACATATATGTTTAATGGTATTCAGCACTATACAAGGTGCTAGAGATATGAGAGATGCTAAGGTGTCTCAGTCATGATCCTTGTCTTCAAAGTACTCAAGATACTACAAGTGCAGGAGGCTTAAGCAAATGTGATAGAACATAAAAGACACCGAGTTTGAAATCTGCATCAGTATCTGCTTGGGGCACAATGGAGAGAGGAGGCAATTTTGTGTAAGGAGAGAGATTTCAGAAAGGGCTCTAAAGAATAGGTTTAACGTGATTGATGACTAAGTAGATAAGGAGAGAAGGCATTTCAGGTACAAGAAGAAGCTCATATTTATACAGGCTTTAAATATGCAAATGTATAGAGATTTGAAATGGTCTGGGACATTTGGAAAACTGCAGATAGTTTGGTACAGCCTAAGCATAGAGTTCAAAAGGGCCTGATGAGAGATGAGGCTGAAAGCATTAAGAATATAAACCATAAAAGACCTGTTTAACATTCTAAGGACCTTAGGAAAAGAAAGATATTAAATAATTTGAACGTACAATGTGACATAATTAATACAAAAGGAACCATTATAGACTTTATATTCCTTTCTTAAAAATCAATTATACCGTATATTAGTATTAGCTTCTGCACTTTCTCTCTCAGTTCTTAGAAGTGGATTTTTATTTAGCCCCTGCACTTTCTAATTCAGTTCATACAAATAAAATTCTGCCCATACCCTTAAAAATAAAGTCCCTACACATTACAGATAGGGGAAGAAAAGGCTATTGATTCAGCTCCAGAAGGACAAGAAGTTTCAAAATTATAGTCGTTTAAAATAATATTTTAGATAAAATTAGAATCTAAGCATTTACAAAAATTAAATCTTGTTCTGTATTTAGAATCCTTGAAACAGTCCTCCTGAAGATACTGTCTGTTTCCATTTTGAAGCATATGGACTAAAGTGCCTCCTTTGTAAATGTGCCTTTCTCCCTTGTTATATTAATTGATCTTCATGAATATGACTAATCAAATCAATGCATATAACGTTAGAATCTTTGCTTGTTGGAAGATTCTTAAAATTCTGTTTTTACCTGTTCGATGTTTTAAGTTGTATTTACTTGTTACTGTGAAATCAATTACAATGAAAGCGTTTATAATTATAAACAAAGGAGTTTATTCTGAAATGCTTTAATAAAATATTTAATTTGCATAATTTTCATATATATTTTAGTTTTGTGAGGCATAAAACCAGGTACTGATCTTAGCCAAAACCTACTTAACAAAAACACCAACACATGAGAAAAATAACAGGTATTCTAAAAATATCATGCTAAAACATAGACCAGAATAAAATTAAAAGATTCCTGGAAACTTTCCATGATCAATAGGAGATAAATTAGCACGGAGTGATGGTATGGTAGATGTGTGAGTAGCTTCACAGATCATTCTAATTGCCCTAAGGATGATGTTTTTGTACAGTAATCAGTAAAACAGTGATTAAATTCTTTCTCCTAGTATCAAGGTAAAATCATACCAGACAATATAACTAGAAGATGTAGCATTTAGTAACTATTAGATAAGTTATAACTTTGATTAAAGTAAATTTCTTACCCCTGGATTCTCGGTTTCCATTTTCACATGGATTTTTAACTTTACCTTTACTACCTTCTTTCTTTTAGCTTTTACACATGCTTAAGGACAGCAACTTTTTTTGTTGACTCTGCACTTGCCTCATTTTAGACTTTCAATCTCCCCTCTGCTTAGATCTATCATCAGCGGACTCTGATGACACATTGCTATGGTTTACCTACTCAGATAACTGTTGCTCTTCACTATTTTCTACTGTATTGTCTTCCCCCATCTGCTTTTCAAATCTTGACATTTCTCACAATTGTGTTATAGAACAAATTTTGTTCTCACTTTATGCTCTCTCTCTCTCTCTCTAGGCAGTTTCATCCATTCTCATTGTCTTAACTATCATAAATAAGCTGTTATTTTTATTCTAGCCCATGAGTTGAAAAGCCATATATATTCAATTGTTAATGAACATAGGAGAGGATAGTTTAAAATAATCCCTTTGGGAGCTTATAAAGAATTTTTCATTTACTAGCTTCTTTTGGAATTGTATAGATAAAATGGATAATAATAACAATTTTGCAGAAATAATCTTCTTGGAACAAAGACATAACTATTAGTATTCTCATAAACTCATTCTGTGCCCCTAAATGGGCAAGGCTATATTTTGTTTTTGTTTTTTTCTTTATACAAAGAGAAGACTGAGATGTAGACACAATGGTAGCAGTTAAGAAATCCTCTGACAATTGATTTCAACTTTATGGAATTATCATACAGCTTACAAGTTTCAAAGCATTTTTATTGCTGATAACATACACACAGAAAAGTGCACAAATCCTAAGTCTGCAATATGAACATCTACACATAACTTTATTCAGGTAAAGAAATGAAATATTATCATCATCTCATAAGCTCCTTTTCTGTCTGCTCACAATTATTAGTCTTTTTTTTTCTTCCTAAGTGTAATTAACTACTAACCTGACTTCTAACATTCAAGATCAGTCATGTCTATTTTGGATCTTTATATAAATGAAATTATTCTGTATACATTATTTTTGTATCAGGCTTCTGTTTCTTTTAGTTTAGGAAGTATTTTTTTTAAATGGAACACAGACCTGTAGACTTTTGGCAACAATTATAAAACTCGTAGGTAACTGATTTTAAGCTTTTGTGTCTCACACATAAACCATCATTAGTTTTGATGTGCTGATTGCATAACACCATTGCCGGTTCAAGCTCATTAGAGACAAAACTGACTTGGGAAAAAGAATTATAATTTATCCTCATCAAAATATATGGGTTTTCTTTTTGAGAAGGTATATAGACCAACAAGGACAACTGAAATATATTACTAGGTCTGCATTAGATTTCTGTGTCTATTAGCTAAGGAGCCTGCAGATACAGTAATGATTTTGGACATGCTGTTTCTAATGAGAATGCTGAGGTTGTCTCATGAATTCTTATGCTCTAAATACACAGAGCAGCCTGCAAAGGCCTCAAGTACATAACTCACTAGAAAACTTAAATTAAAATTTGGCCCAGGGGAGTAATATATTTTAAAACCAAATTTTGTAAAATTGGAATTGATTTTGAAATGGTCTGTTGGTGAAACTATAGGCTCAAAACAAAAGCACAATAAATGTGGTCAAGATTACCTGATTGTTCCATGTGATATTTATTTCATCAAGATTATAAAATATTTTTTTCTAGTGAGGGAAAGGTAAACATTATGCTAAGCCCTGTGAGTCACTCTTCTTCACTGCGTACTTAGTAACACAGGACTTTTGTTATCAGCATCTCTAACATTATGCATTACAGTTAAGCACAAGGCAAAATCTGATCATGAGGCTCTTAATGTGACAAGTATAACAATGGATCTCAGGCAGTGCTTGAAGGACTAGAGATCTAAGAGGTTTTGCATATGCCCAAGTGAAACTAGAGAAGCCTGGTGACTCTACATACAAAACTACAGATCTCCTATGTAAAAGAAAGGTATACAAATGCAAGGGAAATTTCAGTTTCTACAGCAGCCTGGACTTTTCATTTTCTAAATAATACATGTCTTCATAATGATAAAAGCCATTTTAATTTTTGAATGAAAAGTTTCTTCTCATCCCTAATTGCCATTGCATCCTCATGCCCAAGTAATACACTACCCATCAGAAGCTATATTTCCTATAATCTCTGCATTATTATGGAATGCCCTGGATTCTACCCTGGGTGATTTAGAATTGATAGCTGTAGTGGTTAAACTATTTTCTATGTAAATTAGGAAGTAATTAAAAATTCAGATTTATTAAGTCATGCAATCATTTGTGTGTTTAAGGAATTTTCGTATGGCAAAGACTAGCAAGTTAACTACACAGATGGTCCCCGATTTATGATGCTTCAATTGAAGATTCTTTGGATTTCTTATTGTACAAAAGCGATAAACATTCAGCAGCTCAGTAACTTAAGATGGGGTTATGTCAGTATAAAACCATTGTAAACTGAAAATATTTTTAAATAGTTGGGGACATAATCCTATAGTAAGTTGAGCATCTGATTATTATCTATCTGACCCATTTTACTGATGAGAAAATTGAGGTTGTATAATGCATGCTGGAGATTATATACACACACACACACACACACACACACACATATATATATACACACACACACAATACATATATATATAAATTTCCATAAAAGGAACACATAATTTGTGAACCAGATAAAAGAAAATTCCTGACCATTATAGTATGATAAAGTACTATATTTCTGGGATATAAAATTCTGACTTGGACAGTGCCAGAATAAAGCTTTTGTTACATGGTATATTGAGCCCATGCAACAAACTTTACTACAGTCTACATAATCTTGCCAGACTGCATAAAAATCTCTGCTATACACAGTTTTGAAAATAAAGATTCTCAGAATACAATTGTCAGAGGCATTTCAACCAGAGCAACTCCATCTTGAATAGAAGCTGGGTAAAATGAGGTTGAAACCTACTGGGCTGCATTCCCAGATGGTTAGGCATTCTAAGTCACAGGATGAGATAGGAGGTCAGCATAAGATACAGGTCATAAAGACCTTGCTGTTAAACAGGTTTCGGTAAAGAGGCTGTCTAAAACCCACCAAAACCAAGATGGCGATGAGTGTGGCCTCTGGTCATCCTCACTGCTACATTCCCACCAGCGCCATGACAGGTTACAAATGCCATGGCAATGCCAGGAAGTTACTCAATATGGTCTAAAAAGGGGAGGCATGAATAATCCACCCCTTGTTTAGCACATAATTTTTAAAAAACCACAAAAGTGGACAACCAGCAGCCCTTGAGGCTGCTCTGTCTATGGAGTAGTCATTCTTTTATCCCTTTGCTTTCCTAATAAACTTGCTTTCACCTTACTCTATGGACTTGCCTCAAATCCTTTCTTACACAACATTCAAGAACCCTCTCTTGGGGTCTGGATCAGACCCCCTTTCCAGTAACACAATAATGAAAAAAGCCTTAAAATATATTTTTGAAAAGCTTTCTTGTTTGGGAAGCTGTACACACTTCTAAAATCATTTAGGTAATTAATTAGGATACCAAAGATAATAATTTAATATTAAATACTTTTGTACTTTGTTCCTGCATGTTTGACGGACAGGAGAAGTTGATGGTGACTGAAATTCTGAAAATATGCAGTCAGCACTTTTGTCTTCATGTAAGTAGTTTGTAAAAGACCGATTTGATAGCTAAGAATGAAAAAGAATTAGGAGAGATAAATTATGTAAACTTTCTTTATTAAAGTGAACAGTATGCAAATATTCAATTTCTCTTTTATTTCAGCTGAGTTAGCCAATGATTGATTGCTTTCTATTTTAGTATGTTAATGAATTTTTTTTTCATTAGAATTCTCCATAGTTCTTCTCAGTATTTAAGAATTATTTTTTTCAAAATTAAGTTGTGGCAGTATAAATTGCAGCTCTCCAACAAACTGAAATAGAGCATTATTTATAGCAAAATATATTATGTGTTTAGTCTTTATTTGTCCTTTTCATCTCCACTTTCCTATCTTTTATGTCTCACAAAGCAATTGTCTAGCACATGATGCTTATTCATTAATTCAATCACTCATTAATTAGCAAACATTAACTGATTAATTACTCTTTGACAGATTTTACACTGCTGTCTGCATAAAGTTTCTGGCATTCTGTTGGAAACAAACGTTAGTCATCTCCTAATTTTCCCTTGACTGTCATCTTCATTCTGTAGGTGCTGCTCTCCTCTCTTACTTCACAGAAAAACTCTTAAATTACAAACGTTGAGGGTACCACACCGTCCCCTTTTCTATGATCAAGCAGCTGGCCAAAGGGCTACACAGGTTCAGGCTTTTCTCATATGTTCTGGATTTAGATGAAACAGTACACCACAGATTATCAAATCTGACATCCTAAGTTCCTCCAAATGGACCAGATGATGGAACCCAGAATAAAAATAAAATCTTCTCCCCATGGGTCCAACTCTGACTGATAGGAATGACAGAAATTCCCCCCTCACCTTGATTCCATAGACCACACCAAAGAATAGTTTACCCTCCTAGTCTAATCAGACAAATCTTGTGTATTTAGTATGCGAATCCTCCTAGCAAGTCTATCTTTACCCTTTATCATTAACTGGTAGCAAGACCGATAATGCAACACTCTACAGTACCTACTATCCTTCTTTCACATCCTATGTCTGACATGTTTACCATTAAATTTTGAGTACTTAACATACTGTCTAGCACACACTAAGTAATCACCTGTCAGCTGACAATTTTCTCTATATGATATTGCCATGTTACATCACTTACTTTATATAAGATCTTTTCTTGGTAGTAAAATTCCACTGTTGCTACTGCTATAGAGATCAGTGTTGTCAGAAAAATAATCTTACACTGGGTCATAGTGACTATCTCTTGCTGTAAAACAGTCGTGTCAAAAATATTACCCAAAAACCCAAACAAACAAAACTTAAAATTTGGGGGGATGTTTTTCTGATTTGATTTACAAAAGATGTATTAAACCAAACATGAGGGCTTCAAGCAAAGACCATTTTTTTCTTTACTCTCCCACATTATGCTGTCCTGTTTCACAGGGCAAAACTCACAGTGGTAGGTGACTCATACAGAGGCCAGCGAATTGCATCTGCTGAATTATCAGCATCCCTCATTCTTTTAATGAACTGTAACAACAGTGTAATGAATCAATCAGCCATGGGGAAAGGATGCCCTGGGGGTGAGCAGCAGAGCCTGTGAGACTGAAATCTTTTAAATGAAGTGAAATCTGTCTTCAAAGCCTACCAATCATTTAAATAACAGTGCAAAGAATCTTAATATGCCTGCATGACTGAAGTAAGCATTTTGTAAGTATTACACCAGCTGTATTAAAGATTTAAGGGTGAGGTTTTCAGATCAGTATGCTTATATATACTTAGCAATACTATATTTAGAAAGTATGAATTGGAAGATATACATTCTTTACAATTATTAGGGGAAAAAACTAATATTTTTATAAATACTACACAGGTTCTTTGCCTGAATCACTTCACATACCTGTACAGTAGCCACATGAGGCAGATATATTTTGCCATTTAGGCGCATTTCTGTTTCATAACTTTAAAATTGCTGAAGCCTGGATTCAACAGTACATTTGTATGAGTCAAAATTTACATTTCCCCCCTATTGTATCCCATAGCTTCAGCATCTGGTTTCTCCTTCCATACTTGCTAGGATTACACTAAATTTTTTAAAACTTTTAAGTTCGGTGGTACATGTGCAGGTTTGTTTTTTTTTTTATTTTTATTTTCTATTTTTTATTTTTTATTTTTATTTTTATTATAGTTTAAGTTTTAGGGTACATGTGCACATTGTGCAGGTTAGTTACATATGTGTACATGTGCCATGCTGGTGCGCTGCACCCACTAATTAAACTAAAGAGCTAGGAGTGGTGAGAGAGGGCATCCCTGTCCTGTGCCTGTTTTCAAAGGGAATGCTTCCAGTTTTTGCCCATTCAGTATGATATTGGCTGTGGGTTTGTCATAGATAGCTCTTATTATTTTGAGATACGTCCCATCAATACCTAATTTATTGAGAGTTTTTAGCGTGAAGTGTTGTTGAATTTTGTCGAAGGCCTTTTCTGCATCTATTGAGATAATCATGTGGTTTTTGTCTTTGGCTCTGTTTATATGCTGGATTACATTTATTGATTTGCGTATATTGAACCAGCCTTGCATCCCAGGGATGAAGCCCAGCTGATCATGGTGGATAAGCTTTTTGATGTGCTGCTGGATTCGTTTTGCCAATATTTTATTGAGGATTTTTGCATCAATGTTCATCAAGGATATTGGTCTAAAATTCTCTTTTTTGGTTGTGTCTCTGCCTGGCTTTGGTATTAGAATGATGCTGGCCTCATAAAATGAGTTAGGGAGGATTCCGTCTTTTTCTACTGATTGGAATAGTTTCAGAAGGAATGGTACCAGTTCCTCCTTGTACCTCTGGTAGAATTCGGCTGTGAATCCATCTGGTCCTGGACTCTTTTTGGTTGGTAAGCTATTGATTATTGCCATAACTTCAGATCCTGTTATTGGTCTATTCAGAGATTCAACTTCTTCCTGGTTTAGTCTTGGGAGAGTGTATGTGTCGAGGAATTTATCCATTTCTTCTAGATTTTCTAGTTTATTTGCGTAGAGGTGTTTGTAGTATTCTCTGATGGTAGTTTGTATTTCTGTGGGATCGGTGGTGATATCCCCTTTATCATTTTTTATTGCGTCTATTTGATTCTTCTCTCTTTTTTTCTTTATTAGTCTTGCTAGCGGTCTATCTATTTTGTTGATCCTTTCAAAAAACCAGCTCCTGGATTCATTAGTTTTTTCAAGGGTTTTTTGTGTCTCTATTTCCTTCAGTTCTGCTCTGATTTTGGTTATCTCTTGCCTTCTGCTAGCCTTTGAATGTGTTTGCTCTTGCTTCTCTAGTTCTTTTAATTATGATGTTAGGGTGTCAATTTTGGATCTTTCCTGCTTTCTCTTGTGGGCATTTAGTGCTATAAATTTCCCTCTACACACTGCTTTGAATGCATCCCAGAGATTCTGGTATGTTGTGTCTTTGTTCTCGTTGGTTTCAAAGAACATCTTTATTTCTGCCTTCATTTCATTATGTACCCAGTAGTCATTCAGGTGCAGGTTGTTCAGTTTCCATGTAGTTGAGCAGTTTTGAGTGAGTTTCTTAGTCCTGAGTTCTAGTTTGATTGCACTGTGGTCTGAGAGATAGTTTGTTATAATTTCTGTTCTTTTACATTTGCTGAGGAGAGCTTTACTTCCAATTATGTGGTCAATTTTGGAATATGTGTGGTGTGGTGCTGAAAAAAATGTATATTCTGTTGATTTGGGGTGGAGAGTTCTGTAGATGTCTATTAGGTCCGCTTGGTGCAGAGCTGAGTTCAATTCCTGGGTATCCTTGTTGACTTTCTGTCTCGTTGATCTGTCTAATGTTGACAGTGGGGTGTTAAAGTCTCCCATTATTAATGTGTGGGAGTCTAAGTCTCTTTGTAGGTCACTCAGGACTTGCTTTATGAATCTGGGTGCTCCTGTATTGGGTGCATATATATTTAGAATAGTTAGCTCTTCTTGTTGAATTGATCCCTTTACCATTATGTAATGGCCTTCTTTGTCTCTTTTGATCTTTGTTGGTTTAAAGTCTGTTTTATCAGAGACTAGGATTGCAACCCCTGCCTTTTTTTGTTTTCCATTTGCTTGGTAGATCTTCCTCCATCCTTTTATTTTGAGCCTATGTGTGTCTCTGCACGTGAGATGGGTTTCCTGAATACAGCACACTGATGGGTCTTGACTCTTTATCCAATTTGCCAGTCTGTGTCTTTTATTTGGAGCATTTAGTCCATTTACATTGAAAGTTAATATTGTTATGTGTGAATTTGATCCTGTCATTATGATGTTAGCTGGTTATTTTGCTCGTTAGTTGATGCAGTTACTTCCTAGTCTCGATGGTTTTTACGTTTTGGCATGATTTTGCAGTGGCTGGTACCAGTTGTTCCTTTCCATGTTTAGCGCTTCCTTCAGGAGCTCTTTTAGGGCAGGCCTGGTGGTGACAAAATCTCTCAGCATTTGCTTGTCTGTAAAGTATTTTATTTCTCCTTCACTTATGAAGCTTAGTTTGGCTGGATATGAAATTCTGGGTTGAAAATTCTTTTCTTTAAGAATGTTGAATATTGGCCCCCACTCTCTTCTGGCTTGTAGGGTTTCTGCCAAGAGATCCGCTGTTAGTCTGATGGGCTTCCCTTTGAGGGTAACCCGACCTTTCTCTCTGGCTGCCCTTAACATTTTTTCCTTCATTTCAACTTTGGTGAATCTGACAATTATGTGTTTTGGAGTTGCTCTTCTCGAGGCATATCTTTGTGGCGTTCTCTGTATTTCCTGAATCTGAACGTTGGCCTGCCTTGCTAGATTGGGGAAGTTCTCCTGGATAATATCCTGCAGAGTGTTTTCGAACTTGGTTCCATTCTCCCCATCACTTTCAGGTACACCAATCAGACGTAGATTTGGTCTTTTCACATAGTCCCATATTTCTTGGAGGCTTTGCTCATTTCTTTTTATTCTTTTTTCTCTAAACTTCCCTTCTCACTTCATTTCATTCATTTCATCTTCCATTGGTGATACCCTTTCTTCCAGTTGATCGCATCGGCTCCTGAGGCTTCTGCATTCTTCACGTAGTTCTGGAGCCTTGGTTTTCAGCTCCATCAGCTCCTTTAAGCACTTCTCTGTGTTGGTTATTCTAGTTATACATTCTTCTAAATTTTTTTCAAAGTTTTCAACTTCTTTGCCTTTGGTTTGAATGTCCTCCCGTAGCTCAGAGTAATTTGATCGTCTGAAGCCTTCTTCTCTCAGCTCGTCGAAGTCATTCTCCGTCCAGCTTTGTTCCGTTGCTGGTGAGGAATTGCGTTCCTTTGGAGGAGGAGAGGCACTCTGCTTTTTAGAGTTTCCAGTTTTTCTGTTCTGTTTTTTCCCCATCTTTGTGGTTTTATCTACTTTTGGTCTTTGATGATGGTGATGTACAGATGGGTTTTTGGTGTGGATGTCCTTTCTGTTTGTTAGTTTTCCTTCTAACAGACAGGACCCTCAGCTGCAGGTCTGTTGGAGTACCCTGCTGTGTGAGGTGTCAGTGTGCCCCTGCTGGGGGGTGCCTCCCAGTTAGGCTGCTCGGGGGTCGGGGTCAGGGACCCACTTGAGGAGGCAGTCTGCAGGTTCTCAGATCTCCAGCTGCGTGCTGGGAGAACCACTGCTCTCTTCAAAGCTGTCAGACAGGGACATTTAAGTCTGCAGAGGTTACTGCTGTCTTTTTGTTTGTCTGTGCCCTGCCCCCAGAGGTGGAGCCTACAGAGGCAGCCAGGCCTCCTTGAGCTGTGGTGGGCTCCACCCAGTTCGAGCTTCCTGGCTGCTTTGTTTACCTAAGCAAGCCTGGGCAAGGGTGGGCGCCCCTCCCCCATCCTCGCTGCTGGCTTGCAGTTTGATCTCAGACTGCTGTGCTAGCAATCAATGAGACTCCGTGGGCGTAGGACCCTCCGAGCCAGGTGCCGGATATAATCTCGTGGTGCGCTGTTTTTTAAGCCCGTCGGAAAAGCGCAGTATTCGGGTGGGAGCGACCCGATTTTCCAGGTGCCGTGTGTTACCCCTTTCTTTGACTCGGAAAGGGAACTCCCTGACCCCTTGCGCGTCCGGAGTGAGGCAATGCCTTGCCCTGCTTCGGCTCGCGCATGGTGCACGCACCCACTGACCTGTGCCCACTGTCTGGCACTCCCTAGTGAGATGAACCTGGTACCTCAGATGGAAATGCAGAAATCACCCGTCTTCTGCGTTGCTCACGCTGGGAGCTGTAGACTGGAGCTGTTCCTATTGGGCCATCTTGGCTCCTCCCCAGTCGCAGGTTTGTTACATAGGGAAGCTTGTGTCATGGGTGTTTGTTATACAGATTATTTCATCACCCAGTTATTAAGCTCATTAGTTATTTTTCCAGATCCTCTCCCTCTCTCGCCCTCCACCCTCTGACAGGCCCCACTGTGTGTTGTTCCCTGGTATGTGTCCATGTGTTCTCATCATTTAGCTTCCATTTATAAGTGAGAAAATGTGCTCTTTGGTTTTCTATTTTTAGAATTACACTACATTTTAAGTGAGATTAACTTAATATATTTTTAAATATAGTGGATGATTCCTTTACTCATTGCCAAGTAATTCTTCCATTTCCATTGAAATAATTATTTTCTCTAAAAAAGTTTAGCAAATTTTAAAGAAATATACTATAGATCCAGGCATTTGCTGGATAGCTGACATTTCTGCAATTAGAAAAGATAGTGCTAAATGACATCATTCTCTATTGTTTTATGCTTTTCTGAAATACAGCATGTGGCTTCTCAGAACCACAGAGGTAAGAGCAGCATGCATTTGCCTGGTTGAGGCTTAGTCCCTATGAGTTATCTCGTCCAGTTTTACGGCTTCAAATACCAACTACATCTTTTTGGCTTCCAATTTGTATCTGCATTCTTGTCCTTACCCTTCCCTTGCAAGTGGTTGAAAGTGTTCTGAGGCCACATGAATTTTTCTGTTCATTCTTAGGTACCAGAAAGCTCTATGCTCATAATAAATTGCCAAAACAATCTCAACAATAAAAAAGTTTACATTTATGTAATAGGAACAAACCTTGAATGAATTCTCCCTCTGCAAACTCCTGCTGCAGGATAGATCTTTTACTAATTGACAGTGTATCCTGTTCTTTACTACATTATATTTCTATCCTTAACACCTGTTGTTTATGCGGAAACAAGGAAGAAGTAGAGGTCAGGAAGGGCAGGGAATACAAGTAAAGGAATTCCTAAGGTTGTCGAACAACGCCATTATCATGCCTGGGTTTGAGAATTGTTTAAATATCACTGTTTTCTTAATGGGGGATTTTATTAGTGTTTTGCAGAACTTCCACCTTCTCCAACACATGCAAGAGCACGTAGCCATGCACACACACACACGCACACACGCACAACCTTGATGTTAGTATATCTGGTTCAGTCTTGAGGTTGACTATGTCTTTCTTGTAGCGATTCACTCCATAGTTATATTTTACTCCTAATGCCCATATCACCCCCCTAGAAGTCTGTGCATAGGTACCCCTCTCTGCTACATTGCCCACAGACAATCCACAAGATCCACTCAAGCATTCTCTTTCTGAGACATATATGGGAGTGAAAATGATTCCCAAAGCCACAGTTGCTTCCTTTGTTCTGCCACCTAAGTGGATAGTCAGCCAGTCTTTCATCCTATACATTTCCCAAGAAGGCGTAAGATTCTGGTCCAGTGTGTTTTTCCTTACTGTTGGACCATATGTCGAGGTCGCCAAATAATTTCATTAAGTCTCTTTTGAGCAAGGATGGGGCTTACAACAGCAACTGTTGAAAGCCTTAAACAGATCTCTCTTAACAACACTCTTAGTTTCCAGCCACACAATAATGTAAATCCCTTGTGAAAGTAAATAATCTAAATAATTCTCTAGTACTTTCTTTTTAGAGTCCCCAAGAAGGTCTGTGTTATAGGTTGTTTGGTATTTGATATCTGCTGAATGTTTGTCTCTTTCAAAACTTTACATTTTAACATGCTATTATGACGACACTTGTTTACCTGATGTGTCCATTTGAGTGATGTTAGGTGTGTTAAAATTAATATTTTTAAAAGATGATTTACTCTCTCTCCTTTCAACCCCATATCAGTAGATGTCATCCCCATCCATCTAATTATGAAGCAAATGATTTAGGATACAGTGTGTGCTCTTCCTTCCTGTATTCCTCCCTCATATGTAACCTATCAGCAATTCTTATTCAGATTATCTCAAAAAGACATAATGAAATCCGTTTACTCTTCCATTTCCATGGCTACCACTCTAGGTTTCTCTCATTGCTTGAATAGGTGACTACAATAATCTTCTCATTGGTCCCCTGCTTCTATTCTTGGCACAACACACCCTACCCTCCTAAAATTGTCTTACCTCATCAATAACGGCTTTTACAAATAGTTTAGATTTCATCACTCCTCTGTCTAAAAACTTGTGATGCCTTCTCATTGCCCTTTTTGATAGCATAATAAAATCTAATTGAAAAACTTCTTCTATGGCTAAATACACATAGCCCTCCTCAATCTCATCACCTTTTCAATCATACTAGCTCTTTTTTCAGTTACAGAAAAATGCCAAATCATCCCAATCTCATGGTCTTTCATCTGCCATTCTATCTTCCTGTACACTTTCCTCCTGCATCACCATGTAGTGGACCCTTATTTATTTTTCTTTTTTTTTTTTTGAGACAGAGTCTTGCTTTGTCGCCCAGGCTGGAGTACGGTGGCGCAATCTTGGCTCACTGCAACCTCCATCTCCCGGATTCAAACAGTTCTCATGCCTCAGCCTCTTGAGTAGCTGGGATTACAGGCACCCGCCACCACGCCCAGCTAATTTTTTTATGTTTTTAGTAGAGACGGGGTTTCACCATGTTGGTGAGGCTGGTCTCAAACTCCTGACCTCATGATCCCCCCACCTCGGCCTCCCAAACTGCTGGGATTACAGGCATGAGTCACCGTGCCTGGCCATTTATTTTTCAATTTCAGATAAAATGACACCACTTCCAAGTAGCCTCCCCTGATAATATGAAACAAAATACCTTCTTGCAAACCAGTTACCCTCCATTGTATTATTCAATTTCTTTTTCTTTCATAAAACCTACTACACTTATAAAGCATTTTGTGTAGTTTTGGTTTACATTGTATGAGTTGTTTCTACACCCAGTCAGTAAGATAGACCCTCAAAGAAATAGCTCTTCTGTTGGCAACTACATTTTCAATTGTAAACATTTCCAACTACAAACTCTACATTTACATATTAATTGTAAACACATCTAATCCATTCATAATATAAAACCTTATTTCACATTACACAAATATTTTCTATGGATACTTTAAAATAATTGTTTTAAAGTTTGATTTTGTAAATTCATTTATTTTTGCATTCACAGGCCTGTATTAATTATGTATTTTTTCATAAATATTATACTAAACATTCGATTTACAATCTAATATGATAAGTACAATGACAAAAATGCACTGAGGCCTGGCACAGTGGCTCACGCCTGTAATCCTAGCACTTTGGGAGGCCACGGCAGGCGGATCACCTAAGGTCAGGAGTTTGAGACCAGCCTGGCCAACAAGGTGAAACCCCGTCTCTACTAAAAATACAAAAATTAGCCAGGCATGGTGCCCAGAGCCTGTAATCCCAGCTACTTGGGAGGCTGAGGCAGGAGAATTGCTTGAATGAGAGAGCTGGAGGTTGCAGTGAGCTGAGATCATCACTGCACTCCAACCTGGGTGACAGAGAGAGATTCCGTCTAAAAAAAATAGGAAAAAAAAAAAAGTATTGCTATGAAAACAAATAGATGGATATGTAATGGTAGAAGGGTAAGAGAAAGGATATAGCTCCTGGGAGTTAGTCAATCAGAACTGATTTCTTTAGAATGAGCATGGAAACAATAATTGGTTAGGAGCATTCAAGGCAAGAGGAACACCATTTATAAAGGCTTAGGGCTGAGTGAAAGCATGCTAGTGTATATTTAAAAAAAAAAAAAAGGAGGCCAGTTGTGGCAGCTCATGCCCGTAATCCTAGCACTTTGGGAGGCTGAGCTGAGTGGATCACTTGAGGCCAGGAGTTTGAGACCAGCCTGGGCAACATGGTGAAACCCCATCTCTACTAAAAATACAAAAATTAGCTGGAAATGGTGGCGTGCTCCTGTAGTCCAGCTACTCAGGAGAATGAGGCATAAGAATCGCTGGAACCCAGGAGGCGGAGGCTGCAGTGAGCCAAAATCATGCCACTGCACTCCAGCATGGGACTGTCTCAAAAAAATAAATAAATAAACAAATAAATAAATAAGGAAACAATAGAGTGATAGAAAGCTGTGGCAGAATATGAGGTTTAAGGATGATGAATTTAAAATGACAAATACAAATTGTGAAATATTTTAGTGCAAATTACATTTGAGCACATTTGCCTTTTAAAAAGATCGAAGTAAGAAATGATTTAAAAAAAAACACCTAATATTGTGGAATGAACATAGATAGAAATTCAGGATAGAACTCTAAGGATAGAAATGTTAAGATGAGGTGAATGAGACCCTATAAGAATGAGGGAAAGGTCAAAGATGACTCATTGGTTTCTAACTGCATGGTAGAAAGATTAAATGGTAGAAGAAAAACGTGTGTAAAAGTTAAGTTTAATCAGAATAATTTTGAAGTGCCTGTAAGATTTCATGATTGAGAAGTGCACTGCATGAGGATTGAGGGATCTGTGTTGGAGGTCTATGATTGGGAGTCATTCACAAACTGATATTTTGAAGACTTGGGTGTAATGACTTGAATAATCAATGAAAGTTTATTTAACTTATATGTTGTCAACAGCCACTTTGAAAAGTTGTTGATGACCTTGCATGTCAACAAGTTGGTATAACTTGAATTGGACAGAAAGACTGTGAGAAATTTGGTAAACTCTTTGATTAATGAGAATGAGTACCTGTAAGTCCTGCATCAACAGGCAGCACAGAAGAGAAAGTGTATTAGTTACAATTTTTAAAGGAAAAGCAGTGTTTGTAGGTAAATTTCTAATAGTAATGGCCTGAAATAAGCATTGGTGTCTTAAATATGTTATTTCTAATCCCAAAACTTGAAATATATAGGGACAAATTCTTGAGAAATTCCCTTTCGAGAGGAGCAGTAGTGGTGCTCTCAGAAAAAAAAAAAAAAAAAAAAAAAAAGCTACTGGTTTTCATTATGGCAATTTATTGTACTATTTTCTAGACAGTTTGGGGATATAAGTGTGCTATTTATAATGAAAAGAGCAATGTAACATAAGGCTTAAGGCTATGAGTAAATAACTGGTCCTAAGTTTTCAAATGGAAACCTGTGGTGGAATGACGCTAAAGCTAGCAGCTGTATCCACCACGTCTGGAAGTGCAAAGCTTAGAAGATCTTCCTGCATAGATTTGTTTTGTATTCTGTTCATAGAAATACATTTGGTGTTATAGGGTAAAAAAACAGATGAATATGTCAATAAGAAACATAGCAATAATTATAATACCAATAATAATCATCACCATCGTAAGACTTCCATTGTAATGAAAGAGGGTTAGTCACTTTTAAATAATTTCAGCTCTCACTTAATAATTAAGGTTTTCAATAAAAGACTCTGTCTAAGTTTTGGTCTTGTTGTTATTCCTTTGGGCAAAGGACAAGAGTATATCCTTTTTTAATTGAAGTGAACGTTACAAAATATAAAATTAACCATTTTAAAGTGAATAGGTGGGCACAGTAGCTCACACCTGTAATCCCAGCACATTGGGAACCTAAGGCAGGAGGATTGCTTGAGTCCAGGAAAATAGTCGAAAATCAGCCTGGGCAACATAACAAGACCCTGTCTCTGTAAAAAAAAATAAAAATAAAAATAAATAATTAGTCAGGTATGGTAGCACATGCCTGCAGTCCTGGCTACTTGAGATGCTGATGTGGGAGGTTTGCTTGAGCCCAGAAGTTCAAGGTTGCAGTGAGCTATGATCACGCCATTGAATTCCAGCTTGAGATGTCTCTGCAAAAAAATTTAAAAAGTGAATTATTTGGTAGCATTTAGTATATTCACAATGTTGTACAATCACCACTTCTATCTAGTTCTAAAATATTTTCATTGCCCCAAAATATAACCCCCTAGCCCTTAAGCTGTTACTCATCATTCTTCCCTTCCCTTGGCTGCTGGCAACCACTAATGTGCTTTCTGTCTCTATAGATTTACCTACTGTGGATATTTTATATACATTGAATCATACATGTGACTTTTGGTGTCTAGCTTTTTTCACTTAGCAAAATGCTTTTGAGGTTTATTCTCATTATAGCATGTATTAATGCTTCATTTCTTTTTATCGGACAATACTGCAATATGGAATAATTTTATAGAGTAATATTTCATTGCATGTGTACACCACAGTTTGTTTATCCATTCATTTATTGATGCACTTTTGGGTTGTTTTCACCTTTGACAATTGTAAATTGTGCTGCTATGACTATTCATGTATTCAAGTGTTTGTTTTAGTATGAGTTTTTAATTATGTTATATATCCAAGTATGGGCATTCTGGGCACTCTGGTAATTGTTTAACTTTTGAGAAATTGTCAGACTGTTTTTCATAGTGTCTGCACAATTTTACATTCCTACCGTCAAAGGTTCTAATTTCTCCACATATTCTTAAAGACGTGTTATTTTCTATTTTTTTCCCAGTAGCCCACCTGGTGGGTATGAAGTACTATTTAATTGTGATTTTGATTTGCATTTCCTTAAGAACTAATTATGTGAAACATCTTACTATGTGCTTGTTGTCCATTTGTATATCTTCATTGGAGAAATGTATATTCAAGTCCTTATGCCCAACTTTGTGTTTTTGTTGTTGAGAAGGTGGCAGGATATATGTAGCCAAAAGAGGACACATACAAAAGAAACAAACGTTCTTATCAAGAAAAATATGAATGAATTTTGAAAAACCAAACAAATATGCAGCTCAATAATTTTTTGTTTTCTTGACTCAGAAAGGATCTATTTTGGAACTTATTGCATTGATTGCATTCTTTGTATTTAAGGGGTATTATAGGTAAGAGCAAGATATCTTTCATTGTTGTAATTTAAACTGCACAATGCTTGTTGATTTGTTTAATTTATCAATAACGTTTAATTCTGTGATCACTGTAGATATCTTCTATAACGTTATTTTTGTCAAGTTGCTGAAAATCAGAGTGCATGTATCTTCTTCATATCTATGTCTGGGTTGAAAGAATAGTTATGGTTGGGTGCAGTGGCTCATGCCTGTAATCCCAGCACTTTGGAAGGCCGAAGAGGATGGATCACCTGAGGTCAGGAGTTCGAGACCAACCTGACCAACATGGAGAAACCCCGTCTCTAGTGAAAATACAAAAATTAGCCGGGCGTGGTGGCGCATGCCTGTAATCCCAGCTACTCGGGAGGCTGAGGCAGGAGAATTGCTTGACCCGGGAGGCAGAGGTTGCGGTGAGCTGAGATTGTGCCTTTGCACTCCAGCCTGGGCAATAAGAGAGAGACTCCAGTCTCAAAAAAAAAGAGAAAGAAAGAATAGTTGCATAGTAGTTACATAGAAGATCTGAAGTACATCAGTGGCTACATTTTGAAAGTTATTTATTATTTATTTATTAGAAACATATTTGGAAATCTTGATGAGAAAATATTGAGGGGTTAGGACATGATTTTTTCACATTCAACATAATGAAATACAGGTGGACAGTGAACTGAGTTAGGACTCTAGCCAGAGTTCACTAAAGTGTTCATACAATACTTACAATTGAATTATGAGGTCTTGTTTAGAAAGGAGAATATTTTAACATTATGCATTTATATTTGAATCAGTAGAAAAGGCTTTGAATTGCCCATCTGTGACAAGTACGGAAAATATAACACTGAAATGAACTCAAACAATTCTTACAGTGTAATTTTCTGAGTTAGCGGAAGCTGTTACATTTTAGTCACCCATGGAAGAAAATCCTTAATCTATTTAATAGTTCTGCCTTTTTTATTTACACCTACCTTTGTTCCTTCGGTATAGATAAGTGAATTCAATAGACTTGCGTATTTCTTCCGTGGCTGTCATTATTATCCAGAATACAATCAGGCTAATAGTAGCAATTTCATTCTTTATTGTCAGAGTAAAATGTGACTGATGATGTGGTTTTTATATGCTTGTGGCTACTTAAAAATGAAATATTTCTCAAAAAATATTAACATCACAGTATATAATTGAGACAAAAACCATTTATTTTATTCCCAAATCTATGCCTGACCTTAAATATGTTACAAATAAGCTCAGCAACTGAATAATGCCTATGAACAAATGGCTAATGTGCCTTTCCAGTTGGTAAACGAGTATACTGCGCTTGTGTGAAAATTTTTGTTCTCCACCTACACATTTGTTTGTTCAAACTACTGCTTTTTAGTGATCATTAAGTGAGAAATCTCTCACTCCCTAAATGGTAAGATAGCAATAAAAGAGCATTATTTCTTAAGGGTGAGAGGTCCACATTTGAATTCCTATTTTTACTCTTTTGTAGCTTTATAACTTTGGCAAGTTCGGTAACTTCCTCAATCCTCTGCTTTTCATTTGACTGTTAGTTTGATTAGTAACTTCCTACAGAAAGATATTAATAATTTCTCTTTTATTCATTATTCCTGCATGAGCAACTGCATCAACCATAAATGAAACTGTTTTAGAATAAATTTATGCCATGAGGATTCCAGTGATTGAAATGATTTAGTCTGGCAGTATTTCATTTTTTTTTGTCATCTATCTCAACCACAAGGGCCAATTCATGATCTCTTGGTTTGAATTTATGACTTACATGTTTACTCTACCTGACTTTGTGGGTGTTTTTGTTGTAATGATGAGTTGTCAATTGTCTTTGGTTTCATCTCTACAACTAGCAGATTGGTTTTGATGTCAGACCATTACTGAGATATAATTTCATGACCTTTTCTTTATAAATGTATGTCATTTTAATCGCTGAGTGTAAGACATTAGCGTCACTACACTTTTTGATTTTAATGGGAGGGTGAGAGAACAATTGTATCTAATGTTCTAGAAATTCCTCCTCATTTACATCTTCTCTACCAGAAAATAGTTATTAATTAATAATATTTTAAATTTATATTGATAACTAACATTTACTGAGTACTTTCTGTGCCAGACCATGATTTAAGCATTTTATACAGTATGTCACTTAATCCTTACATTCCTGAGAGGTTAGTATTAATATTGTTTCTATTTCACAGATGGTATAGAAAGGTAAATAACTCATCCAAAGCCAACATGTAGTAAGAAGTTTTAGTTTCTGGGTAATTATTCCTCAGTGGTTAGTTAATTTATAGTTTTCAACAGCTGAAAGAATGTAAAACAAACAAACAAACAAATAATCTCAAACCCTAAATAATGAACATCTCAGAATTTCATACAAATGTTCATACAAAGGGGATACTGTAAACACTTTAATGTAATAATTCTTTCCAATCATACTGGGAAAACTCTAAAGACAGCTAAAGCAGATGGATCAAGACTCATATACAAAAATAAGAAAGATTTGACTGTTTAATTATTTGTATTTAGTTTGTTCATCATAGGTATACTAGGGAATGTAGGTAACATCTAAAAATTGCTTAAATTCATAGCTTGAGTACTGGATTCTATTTAGTTTTGCAGTTGTTGGCTTTTCACTTAATAATAGAGTCAGACTCTAATCTGCTTGCCTTTTCAGGTTGTAGGACTCTATCAATATCTATTTAAATAAACACAATGTTTGAGAGAACTCTCCCTGTTGCTCAGTTTTATCTGAAGACCAATATTGTTTGATCTAAAATGTTTTCCTTTATGGCATTTTAAAAATTGTTAAATTATTCCAACGTTTTAGAAAAATTACGATATTTCCACTAAAGATTTTATTTTCTTCTTTTTTTGTAGGGAAAGTGAACACATTTGGAAATATTGGCTCAGCATTGCAGCTATACCCTTTAGACAGGAAACACACTTTCCAGTTCTCCTTGACAGAGAGGCTGAAGGTAGGTTATCACTCATCATCAAATGTCTTGAGGATTTTTTAGAGTAAATAAATATTTCCCTCTTTATATGTTTCTAGCAAAAGTTCACAAAGGAAAAACAAATCTGAATGAGCTAGTGTTTCAAAAAAGAGAGAAAGAGAGACTACGTTTCTTTGTAGAAATAAATATTATTATTGTTGTTTAATAGGAAAGCAGAGTCTTTGGTACAAAATGTGTATCTTTTGTCCTATACCTACCCTAACCCTATAGGTATTTCAGTTTGTAACTTCTGGTCTGGAGATATTCAGCCATGTAAATGCTTCTGAATCTTCACTTCTATATTTCTGTCAACTGCAGTTTTACAGCAAAAATGTGGTTCATCGGTTTAACCCAATTTTCAGGGTAGGAATGTCAAAGAAATGCATCAGTCACAGAAAATTAAGAAACAGCCATATAGTACCTAATGGCCTAAGAAACTTAATCTGTTTCCCAAATCACTTGACTTACTGTCTAGGTCTTTTTTTTTCTTTTTTTCTTTTTTTGTCCCCACTGAGGAATATGAAGTTCAATATCTTTTCCCTGAAGACTTCAAATGAAATCAAATTGTCTTTTATTTCAAACATAAATCCAATAATCAATATCTGGTTGGCAGGGTCTTATATGGGTTATTTCTTGAAAACCAAAGACAATAATTGAGTTTTAAATGTGCTTAACATTTCAGGATGATACATGGTGAATGCAATGGAGAATCTTTTTCTGTCAATGTAGATTTCTTAATAGAAATTCACTTAAATGAGGGCCTATCAATTTGTAGTAAATTATTTCACTCTAGTTTAGAACAAGCTTTATTGAACACATGCCTGCCCCTACACAGAATAAATCACGCCTTGGCAGTGCTATTCATTTAAATAAATATTTTCTCTGTTTTAATTTTAAATAAGTCCTTACCATCTGCTCTGTCCTTTAGTTACAAATGTCAAGCAACATAACTTACTATTGTGCCATTTACAAACTGCAGACAGAGAAGTGATTTGGTGCTTGCCATGTTTTTGTTTTTAGTTCTACACAGTCAGTATTTGTTTTTCCTTTTCTCATGCTTCAAATATAATGGGAGATATAATTCTATTCTGACATATTGAAACCTTCCCCAGAAAAAAAGAGACACAGGGAAGGAAGAATGATTAATTGAAAGACTAAACTAAGGCCATATCTGCAGAAATGTGATGTATCTGAAGGATTGTAATCACGTAGATGAGATGTTAAACCTAACTCTATGAGGCAGATGCCATGCAGACTGCATTGTAGCCAAGACCCTTAGTAAAGGAAAACCAATTTGTCTTATAGGAAGAACAAAAGACATTTCCAGAGAAACCAAGAATTAAAGGTGCATTCACCCTGTCTGCATCTTTTGATAGACTTCATATTCTAGGGGCATAGCAAAAACTACTCAAATGTTAGAAAAGCATCACAAACTGAATAGAACAGGAGCGTGATAAGTCTGGTTAACATGAAAGGTTACGTTCAATTCAGCTCAGTGTTCATTAAGCCCTTTCTCTGAAGAAATCACAGCATGAAGCACTTAGCTGAATACATTCATAATGAAAATAAAAACTGCTGGTTCATTTTTTAAAAAGAAAAAGAACAGAAAACCCTTATAACATGTTTATATGAAAAATTCATAAAGAACTAAAATTACTAATTGGAAATTTATGACATTTTATAAAACCAGAGCATAGGAGCCTTCAAAGCCTTGGCTATTCTGCTAGGACAGGCTTCCCACGTTGTGGATGGGAACTCTCTTGAGATGTTTCTTGGAATTTTTCTCTCAGTTCAACATTCCACAGCTATCTGAGAGCAGACTTGGGTCTCTAGGATACTGTACTCTGGCCAAGGCCAGACTAATCTGGGTCTCCTGTTCCAGGATGATACAGTGATAAGGGTGGTCAGTTTTATAGAATTAAAACATAGACATACTTAAGTTTCCTTAGGCACTGAAATCTGTGGTTATGTCTATTTGATTATAGTATTTCCCAGAGATAACGTAAGTTTTCATCTTTTCATTTTTAAACCTTACTTGGTAGTAATTATCTCAGGTAAACTCATCTATTCTACATTTTCCCTGTGGTAAAACCACTCTTCTCTTTCACAACAGATAGAGTGGGAAGAAAAATGTTGATATTTAAAACTAAAGTAAAAAAGCTACAGAAGCTTCTACTATTTCAGATAAGTAAAATAATTCATGCAAGGTGATACTTGTTTTTCTGTTTGATGTCAACATAGGCACATCAGTAGGTAACTTTCCTTGGTCGTGTGAAGTCCTCAGAAGAAACAATAATTTGGAAATAAAATTACAAAGCTTAGAAATGTCACACTATCTACATTCACAATGAAATAAAAAACTAGAATAAAAACAGAATCAGAAAAAAAAATTATATGCCATCTGGGTATATAAATAAGCAAACAAAAAATATTCTTTCTCTTTCAAATAATTTTTTGAGTCAAAGATAAAACCCAAAGTGAAACTGCAGTCTATTTAGTATACTAAAATATAACAGTAATGAAAACAGTACATATCAGAATGCCTAAGGAATAGCACTATGACAGCTCTCAGAGGGAAATTAATTACATACATGCACAAATAAGAAAGAAGAAAACAAACTAATTAAACATTTGATCCAGAAAGTTAGCAAAGGAACAAGAAGATAAAATGGGAATAGAAAAAAAGAAATAATAAAGATTAAAACAAAATAAATAATTGGAAAAATAGTAGAACACCGCCTATTTTATGATGAAACTAGTATTAATCTTCACAACAAAGACGTTACACAGGCAGGACACTTTCAGGGGCAACACAGAACTGAATTGATATATAATATCCGGATATTTACTTTCATTGCCAGTTTAAAAATGTAGGAAATTAATGCTCAAAGAGATTAAGTAATTTACCTGTGATCGAAACATTTCTTTTCTTTGCAGTGCTTCTACTTACTGGTAGATTAGCCATTCTGTACTCCTGTCTATATTTCCAGTGTCTGTCATCTTTAATCTCCTATTTTGATATTAATATACATTTTCTCATTTTCTTTCTCCTTTTTTTCTTTTCCTTTTTGTTTTTTTACAGAGTCTTGCTCTGTCACCCAGGCTGGTGTGCAATGGCAAGATCTCAGCTCACTGCAACATCTGTCTCCCAGGTTCAAGCAATTATCCTTCCTTAGCCTCCCAAGTAGCTGGGATTACAGGCTCTGGCCACCAGGCTCCGCTAATTTTTGTATGTTTGGTAGAGATGGGTTTTTACCATGTTGGCCAGGCTGGTCTCAAACTCCTGACCACAAGTGATCAGCCTGCCTCGGTCTCCCAAAGTGCTGGGATTACAGGTGTGAGCACCACGCCTGGCCTAATACACATTTTCTTTCTCAAATTATTCTCTGAGCGCTAAAATATTTCCCATTTCACCTCCCTTCATTGAGAAGTTTTAAAATAACAACAACTGAACTTCTATTATTTTACTCTCACTAGTAGAACTTCATTTACCAGAGTTTTTTTAATAAATTCAAAATATTAATCATATTTCCATCATAAGAGATCTCATAGAATGGTGGGTATACTTTCATTTATTTTTCTATCCCCAAGATAAGCTTATTTGAATTCTATTTCATTCCAAGTTGAAGATACTGTGAAAAGTTGCCTAAGTGTTACTTTTCATTTTCATCAAAATGTATCATTCGCTACATTTCTTTTTTAAATATATTTAAGGGAATTTTTTTAACTTTTATTTTAAGTTCAGGAGTACATGCACAGGTTTTTTAATACAGGTAAACTTGTGTTGTGGGGGTTTGTTGTACAGATTATTTTGTCACCTTAGTAATAGGTATAAAGTCTAGTACCCATTAGTTATTTTTCTGGATCCTCTCCCTCCTCCCAATCTCCATCCTCTGATAGGCCCCACTGTGTGTCGTTCCCCTCTGTGTGTCCATGTGTGTTCATCATTTATCCCCCACTTATAAGTGAGAACATAGGGTATTTGGTTTTCTGTTCCTGCATTAGTTTGCCAAGGATAATGGCCTCCAGCTCTAACCATGTCCCTGCAAAGGACGTGTTCTCATTCCTTTTTATGGCTGCATAGTAGTCTATGGTGTATATGTACCATGTATTTGTATATGTACCAAAATAGATGCGTATTTTGTTTTCTTTATCCAGTCTGTCATTGATGGGCGTTTAGGTGGATTCCATGTCTTTGCTATTATAAATTGTGCTACAATGAATACACATGTGCATGTGTCTTTGTAATAGAATGATGTATATTCCTTTAGGTATATACTCAGTAATAAAATTGCTAGGTCAAATGGTATTTCTGTTTTTAGGTCTTTGAGAAACCACCACACTGTCTTCCACAATGGCTGAGCTGATTTACACTCCCACCAACGGTGAATAAGCATTCTTTTCCTGTGTAGCCTCACTAGCATCTTTTATTTTTTTGACTTTGTAGTAATAGTCATTCTGACTGGTGTGAGATGGTATCTCATTGTGGTTTTGATTTGCATTTCTCTAATGATCAGTGATATTGAGCTTCTTTTCATATGATTGTTGGTTGCATGTATGTCTTCTTTTAAAAAGTGTCTGTGTATGTCCTTTGCCCAGTTTTTAATTGGGTTGTTTGTTTTTTTCTTGTAGATTTGTTTATGTTCCTTATAGATGCTGGATATTAGACATTTGTCATATGCATTGTTTGCAAAGTTTTCTCCCATTCGGTAGGTTGTCTGGTTACTCTGTTAATAGTTTCTTTTGCTATATAGAAGCTTTAGTTTAATTAGTTCCCATTTGTCAATTTTCACTTTTGTTGCAATTGGTTTTGGTGTCTTCATTATGAAATCTTTGTCTATTACTATATCCTGAATGGTATTGCCTAAGTTGCCTTTCAGGGTTTTTATAGTTTTTGCTTTACCTTTAAGTTTTTAATCCATATAGAGTTTTTTTTCTTTTTTTTTTTTTTTTTTTTGGATATGGTGTAGGAAAGAGGTCCAGTTTCAATCTTTTGCATATGGCTAGTCAGTTATAACAGCATAATTTATTGAATAAGGAATCCTTTCTCCACTACTTGTTTTTGTCAAGTTTGTCAAAGATCAGGTAATTGTAGTTGTGTGGCCTTATTTCTGGATTCTCTATTCTGTTCCATTGGTCCACGTGTCTGTTTTGTACTGATATCATGCTGTTTTGGTTACTGTAGCCCTGTAGTATTGTTTGAAGTTGGGTAGTGTGATGCCTCCAGCTTTGTTCTTTTTGTTTAGAATTCCTTTGGTGATTTGGATTCTTTTTGGTTTCATATAAATTTTAAAATAGTTTTTTTTTTCTGGTTCTGCCAAAAGTCTCAGTAGTCATTTAATAGGAATAGTATTAAATCTATAAATTGCTTTGGGCAGTATGGCCATTTTTCTGATATTGACTCTTTCTATCCATTTGTATGGATTGTTTTTCCACTTGTTTGTGTGATTTCTGATTTATTTGAGGGCTGTTTTGTAGTTCTACTTGTAGGTATTTTATTCTTTCTGATTCACCACATTTCTGACATCCAGATTAATTTATCAATTATTTTAGTAAATTCTTCTTTAGAGAGACCAACTTAGTACTACAAACCATTTAATGTTTTGTTTTCCAGAAATCTAGTAATGTATACTGACATATTTATTTTAAATAATCAAGTACCTGGATAACATGCATTTCTAATGGAAATCAAGTTTTGATTTTTCCCTGCATGCATATTCCAGTTTACAAAATGAAAGTAGTTGAGTAATTTTTTTGAGTAATTCTTCACAAAGAAGAAGAAAGAAAGGAAAGAAGGAAGGAAGGAAAGGAAGAAAGGAGGGAGGAATGAAAGGAAGGAAGGAAGGAAGGAAGGAAGGAAGGAAGGAAGGAAGGAAAAATATTGTTTTGGCAAAACCTCAACCCCTTACTCATTAGATAGGTAATGGTTTTTGTTGTCTTTGTTGTTGTTGTTGTTGTTCTTCTTCTTCTTTTTTTTTTTTTTTTGGTAGGATCCGTGTCTATTGTCCTTGTTTTTTATGTCAATGTTGGAAGAGAAGCCTAAGCAATACTAGAAGAAAATAAACAGAGAGAGTGAATGAAGAAATTCCGTAGTAAAATTAAAAGAAAGTAAAGCCAGAGTGACCTCCAATAAGTGAAAATGAAGCTCCCTCTCTATTAGAAAAATCAGCAAATGATAGTCTGGAATCATAGGGAGTGAATATGATAGGCAACTAGGTGCACTTGCCAGGTTATATGTTTTCCCCAAAATATATTATGTTGAGGGAGATCAGAAACATGTTTTTGTCTAGCCTTAATACTCGTGAATGTTGCTTTCATTGTTAAGCCAGTGAAATTGTGTACTTCTTTTATTCGTTGAATTGTGAATCAGCACAAGTAAATGAAATTTTAGCATTTTTAAGTTGAGAGAAACCAAAAAATCGTACTATGTTCTAGACAACAAAGTTTACCTGTGAATGAATGAATTCTGAAGGTTTGGCATCTCAGAAGTCTTTGGTATGTTTATTTATTCAACATATTTTATATTGGCTCTATGTATAATATTTACATTTGATGTTGATTAAACTTAGCATAATTTGGACTCAGAATACTGATTACGTTTGAGATATTCTTTCATATTGTCAAATAGAAACATGACATCTGGAAATATTTCATGTTACTAGTTACTTTAGAAAATAATAAAACAATATATTAGATTAATATGACAAAAGAACAAAATTATTAATTTTATATATAAAATATCTTATCCATGTGTGAACTTTATTAATTATATAAAATCAATGGTTATTTTTAGTTAAATAACTTTATTATAAGTTCATTGTAAATATTCTTAAGTTTGTTTTCTATGTAAATTTTAAATTTTGTTACATTTATTTAGTTTTTAAAAGCATAGACTTAAATATACTTCATAATTTAGCAAATCCTGAATTGAGTCTGCTTCTCTAAAATAAATTCTTCTTGCTGAGAATATAAAGTGGGTCTGAATTATAGAACCCTGCCATTTTATTTCTAGCTAATTATCCCAGAAAGAGACATCAAACCTAAAAAGGCCTGCTAGAATACTGATATTTTCCCTAATTCATAGGTTGTTGCTTCTGTGTGGTCCTCTGGACCAAGCCAGGCCTGTCTAAGTCCTTCTCCAAC